>NC_000002.12:102944163-103247193 GCF_000001405.40 Homo sapiens | reverse complement strand
GCCCAGAATGTGAAACAGCAGAAATTCTTCTCTGCTGCTGGTAGGAAAGTAATTTGGTACGACTTTTTATGGAAAATGTTTGCCATTACTTTTTAAAGTTGAATGTATAAAGACCTTTCTAACCAGCAAGTCTAATCCTAGATATATAGTCTAGAGAAATGGTTGCACAAACAAACCAAGAGATGTTTAAAAGAATGTCCATGGCAAAATTGTTCATAATAGTAAATACTGGAACTAATTCAAATAGTCTTAAGTAGTAACAATGGACAAGTAAATGGTGCCACATTACACAACAGAATATAGCACTAAAAAATCAATAAGCTACTGCCTATGCTTTAACATGAATGAATCTCAAAAGAGAATACAACACAGAGTGGTTACATTGATACAAAGTTCAAACATAGGTTCAAACAAATATGGTAGTGTTTGGAGATACATATACATGAATAGAACTAGAAAGAAGCAAATTAGATGAAAACAAAATTAGGATAATATTGCAGTTACCTCTATGAGGAAAAGGGAGCTACTCTTGATGAGGGGTATAGAGGAAGCTTCTAAGAACTGATAGATTTTTAGTTCCTAATCTTGGTTATTAGTACAATGGCATTAATTTAATCATTATTCTCTAAAAAGCTGTACAGTAAAAAAAATTTGTATGTAGAATATATTCTGCAGTAAAATTTTAAGGACATTTTCAATCTAAATGTAACTGTGATAACTCCTTCAACATACACAGTATGATATATAGAAAGTCTAATTACATCCTCTGTAGTCAACAGAGATAAATTATTCTTTTTTAAATGATGCATTTGCATTACAGCTCAAATATCTCTTCTTTAAGTAGCTTTGCACTGCTTTGTAGACTATCTCACATGCTTGTTTCTCCTTGCTTCCAAAATTGGGGTCAATGAAATCACCTTTGCTGTTCTTCTTTTTTCTTGTTTTTTTTTTTTTTGTTTGTTTTGTTTTGTTTTATTTGTTCGTTTTTTCAGAAAGAGTGAAGCTGTGAAATATGTGTTCTTTACATGGTAAAATGTAAGCAAGAACTACAATTTCAGTCCTTTTAGATTTTAACGATGTTCATTTTTCTGTATACGTATCTCATTGTGAGTTAACGTTATAAGTTTTGTGATGAGTTAGCAGTCATTCTGGTGGATAATGGGGCAGATGGCAGGGTGGCTCCACACTCAAATAGCATCAAACTATGATCCCCCTGGAACATGGGCATGCATTTTTCCAGCAAAAAGTTCAACTGTCTCCATATAAAAACATGTTCTCTCATTATCTCTGTCTTGTCATTTCTCTTTGTCTTGAGATATCTATTCACCTTTCATTCATGCCTTCATAGAAAATCTAAAATCAAAGGGTTAAAGAGACATTAAGGAATATTTACAGAGAGAGAAGTAAGGAAAAAGATACTGGATCATTCAAACAAATTAGAAATTTTGATTACTACTGCTCGAGGCCAGCAATATTTGTGATGTTTTAGGCCCAAGGGTGCCAGGATGCCTGTGGAAAAGACTAATTAATGTTTTCTGAGATTAATTAGAAAATTAAATGGAAGTATAATGAAACCAGCATGGCTTAGCTCACTGGATCTACAACTATGCACCACTAAATTTCAGTGTTATTCAAAAGTTCTATTTATTACTTGAATACAAATATAGTAAGATTGGCTGTAATTGATTTTTTTTTTTTTTTTTTACTATTCTGTCACCTAATTCCAAACAGAACTACTAGGAACTTCACAGTAATATAAAGCACAAAGCTGTCTGACAGTCCTGGCCTGAGTTAATGTCCATCAAAGTGCCTTCAAGAAAAATAAACTAAAATATCCCCCAAATTTTCGGTGGTATTTTGGAAGGTTGCCACAGATCATGATATTGGCCTCTTTACTAGATAATCCTCCTAGATTCTGTGAGCCTTTTTCCAGCTGAAACACTTTTGGTCAGTGCATGGCATCTCCCATCAGCAAAAGGAGGTATGAGAAAGGAGGCAATAAACTCCAATAGGGAGGAGGAAGAACCAGAGGGGTGAAACTTCGCATTTGTTGCATGAAAGTGATGTGACAAGTGTTTTCACCTTCTCTCTGTGTCTTGTTTTCTGTAAAAACAGAATATTTTAAATGTTTTCCCCGTGTCCCTATTGAGCTGTCAGGTAACTGAAATGAAACAGGTATGGGCCCATTATCATATGATGCAATCCCATCAATGAGGCTTTTATCCAAGCCATTGGCTGGCAAATAAGGGTATTCAATAATTGAAAATTTATGGAAATAAATTTTTAAGTAAGTACAACTCCAAGAAAATGCAATTGTCTTTTATTAGACTGCAGATGTGTCTTATGACTTGCTTGACAAGTCTTATTCAAACCTTTCCTCTGCCAATTTTTCAAATTCCAGCTTCTCTGGGCTAGTTTTCTTGCTGTTTTCAAGATATTGTTTGTATCTTAGAAACAGTACGATAGATTGTATACTGGGAAAGACAAAAGAACCACCAAACTCATCTACTTGTTATCAGTTGGACAATCACCGGACCCAGCAAGATGCAACAGATAATTGATTACGAAATGCATTGTTTGGGAACCCCATGATTAGTTATAAAAAAGAAAAATTGTACCCATTTTCACTCCTAACCTTCCTTTTTCCATTTTTTAAGAGAATGGTCTAGTTTTTGTTTGTTTGTTTGTTTTTAAAGCACATCTGGTATAGTGTCAACAAAGTCAGCGTGGAACCTGTTCTTAAGTTTTGATATGACAAGCATTTTAAAGAGAAAAATCTTTCTATCACACTCAGTATCATTTGTAAGGGTTGTCTTTTCATCTTCAGTTACTAAGACCCTCCTATTTAAAACTGAACTTATAAATATAAACTAAAACTTGCCTCCTTTTAAATAGATTTGTTTTCTCATGATAAGATATTAATATTTTAATTTAGATTAGTGATTCCCAAAGATTCTCCAGTGGAGTCTCATTTGATGAGATGTTTCTGGAATACTTTTCTACAATGAAATAAATTTGGAAAATACTTCCATCTCTTGAATTTACTCAGCATACGAGAAACGTTAAGTCCCTGAGAATTCTTACAGAAAGGACACTGGCTTAATTTTGTGCAAATATATTTATCTATACATAGATTTTAAATTTAACATCTAATTAGGGCTATTAGATGCTGATTCATACTTTATGTTCCCCACAGCAGAAACTGGAGTAATCTTGTAAGATCCCTATGAGAGCCCTGTAGACCCATAATAAATAGCATTTGGTGATTTTAGAATTCAATAATTTGACTAAACTCTAGACTAGAAAAAAGGGAATTTTAATCCCAAGTCACATGTGGGAGTATAATGGTATCAATCGTATCAAATTGAGCTATAATCCTAATTTAGAATTTTATTTAGTAATTTGTATATTTTGGTCCCCCAAGCAAATGTAATACTTATTGGGCTAATTCACTGTAATTTCCATCACACCCAGAAGTTGGAGGTCAGTTTTGCTGTGGTTCTCACGCTTTGCAGGTGTCAGCATCACCTCGGGGTTCTCCGTGGTCCTAACCTACTTCCACTCTCCTGGCCTCCAAATTTCTCATTAGGTTTAATGATGATTCTGATAGCCACTGCGTTTGAGAATCACCCCACAGCTGAAAGTGGAGCTGTCCTCATTTTGTTCTTTTATTCTTTAGCTTCCCACGAGGTCCCACCTTGGCACTAAACATAAGACACAAAAATGGAACAGTTGGTGAGATACTAACCTATTGTAGAGGTGAAACCTCCACCATATATTCTGGAGGGCACGGTTTTTGCTCAGAGAGGTTTCAGTTGTTGATATAGTTATAAGAATGTTGTTTCCTTTGCAAAACTGTCCCACTACCTCTTCGATGAATGACACAATTTAATGTAGGAACAATGTGTTTTGTTTTCTTCCAATGGCTCCCAGAATGATCCTCATCTGTGTTCAATCAAGTCCAGTCCAGAGAATTAACAATAGCAGTGGGGGTAACCATAGCAGAAAGCAGGGTTCAAGGTGCAGGGTTCAGGATAAGATGAGACAGGCTGAAGAGCAGAAGTGGAAGAAAGCAAATCAACAGGGACAACTATCCCAGCATGATGGCATTCTATAATCCCAATTAATTAGAATTTTATTTAGTACTTTGTATATTTTGGTCCCCCAGACTAATGTAATATACTTCTTGGGCTAATTCATTGTAATTTCCATCACACCCGGAAGTAGGATGTGAGTTTTGCTGTGGTTCTCACACTTTGCAGGTGTCAGCATCACCTGGATGTTCTCTTTGGTCCTAACCTACTTCCACTCTCCTGGCCTCCACATTTGGTGGATCAGTTGGTGAGATACTAGCCTATTGTACAGGTGCCTTAGGGGTGGATGTTAACAACCAGTTGCAGTCACAGCATCATGAGGTAAAAGCAGATAAACTGTAGTCAGGAAAGCGTCAGAGTCATTTGGTGTCACTCTCATGCAAAGCTGGTTAGTCTTAGTCTGAAACCCATTTCCTGATGTGACTGGCTTACATTTCCACTGCCCAAGGAGGGACAGTTTTTCTTACATGCATTTCTCTTTCTAAGAGGCAAACCTGGAGTGACTGCATCCTTTACAAGCACTTCATCCTAATTTAGAGCCAAATAAAGTATCCTAGCTAGCATTCAAACAAAGAAACAAAAACACTTTTCTAAACAGGAAGCTTTTACCTCATCTGCTTTGCTGAGAAATCACTGCTTTGATAAAACCAGGTCCTAAAAGAGCATACACACCAAAATTCAAAAATTCTTGAAACCAATTCTTCTTCTAACATAAAACCACAACAAAAAGGACTCTTTTTCTACTGCTTTCAAATTATAATGTGCTCTCAAAATTATAGGTCAATTTCACCAATCTGAGGGGTTCTTCTTTTTATTTTGTTTTTATTTCCATCCCCCTCTCTGCTGTCTGGCTCTCCGTAGCACAGCTTTTATTTTATTATTATTCAGGTAGCACTATGGATAAAGACTTCAGAAAAAAAAATTCCAGTACCCAAGACACTTCGCTGGCCTTTTTGCTGGATAATTATACTCACTCTTGATAACACTAAAGGCATGACTTATTGGTGGTGGTTCAGAGACCTTCTTTTTCACAGAGAGATGGCTTGTTTCTATGGGCCTTGATGGTCTTCAAATTATCTAAGTGCTGAAAAGAGAGCAGAGTGAATTTTATTTTAACTCATTTTATTTCTGAATTTATTTCCCACTAGCTAGGAGGTGGTGACTGCCCCAGCAGTCAAGTCAATTGTTATCTGTGGGACTTGATTATGTTTGGACCCAGTCGCTCATTTTGAGCAAGACACAGTTAATGAGGAGAGAAATGAAAAGTGCATTGAGTCACAGTGTGTTTGTGGTAATTTGAGACACATTTACTCCACTCAGTTCTTTGTTTATTCCTCCCCACTCCATGCAGGTTCTGTAGAAAAAGAAGCAGATAAACGAATTCACTGGTAGACAGTTAAGGGTGTTGAAGGTAATGAATCTCTCTCTCTCTCTTTCTCTCTCTCTGTGTGTCTCCATTGTTGGCAGTAATTGGGGCTCCGTTCATCTCTACGGTAAAATGCTGGGGAAGCTCAAGTTAACGAAACATCTTATTTTCCATTATTTCACAACATATTTTTCATTGACACTGCTAGTTTTTATTTTCACTGTATTTTTTTTTTTGGTGTGCTCTTTGCCACTTTTCTAAATAATAGTCCATTAAACAGTTCACAGTATGTGTTCTGCAGAAATGTAAAAAAGTGATTGGATGATACTAATTAAGGAGAGATTTTGTTTCCACTTACTGCAGATCAATGGTGGGTTACATCAAAGCTGCATTTTGCGATGAGTTTAACACAAAAGAACAGCTGTGCTAAATACATATTTCAAGACATACAGGTAGGTCAAATAAACATTCCTTTCTTTGAAAAGTCTGTATGTTATAACTATAAATTCTACTTGCAAAACTGTGGGGAGACACAAAGGCTAATTATTCACTACAGTCACTATTAGTTTCAGTAGAAACTGTGAAGGATAAAATTGGGAGGTGTTCTGTTACTTCTAGTTCTTACTTTAATCTAGGTCCTACAATGAACTGGTATCACTGTGATATTTTTACAGTTTTATTTTCAACTGAATCATGTCTTCTTTTTCTGATGATGATTTTGAATTGAGGAGGAGACCTGTCAATATATTTTTATGACTTAACTGTAACTGTCTTTGTGATGATCTTTAATCTGCTACATGATAAGATTTATTTGTTTCCAAGAAACATTATTTCTTTCTAAACAAGTTTGAGGTAATATGGTCCAGTTCTGTAAATGACAATTAGCAGCCATTAAAAGAGCATTATAAACTCAGAGGGACACAAACACTTAGATCAATGGAATTCAAGAGCAGAGAAATAGAAGATAAAATATCTGTGTCTGCCACATGATTTTAGCCAGCAGTAGCTGCATTTCAGACTGTATGCCTGCAGCCTATATTTATATACATCTCTTTGAGTAAGTGTTATTTTTCACAGCAGTAGTAGTATTTGTGCTGCTTTTGTTGACATTTAGATAGTATACAGTAAATACCTTATAACAGTGATCTGTTTCACTTACAGTTTCACTAGCCTACAACACTGTCCACTGCAGTTACAGGTTTGCAGACTCACAGATATTCTCTTCCAGATGCAATTTTGCTGTAACTTAAATTTTTGTCAAGCATATGTTCTGCTTAAAGGTTGGATTTTTTAATAGAATGAAATTGATTAAAAGGCCTGCAAGCGAGGACTCCAAGATGACTTCCGGATTCCACATCTGACTTGCTGGATGAGTCAGGGCCACTGGCCCCATACCTTGGTCTCGACATCTGTAAACCCTTCTCAGTGGTAATGAGAGTTACATAGGAGCACCAGGACACAAGTGACTTCAAAGGGATTTCTTCACCTGAGGGAGATGCAAGCCAGAGTAAAGGTAGGGAATCAGGCTGTGAAAGCAAATTTCTTTCAACATGGGACCAAAAGCTCAGGAGGCTATGGTTGATTAAAGGGCACAGCTTTTCAAGGCAGCCAGTAGAATTCATATTAGTTCTGAAAGAAGAAAAAAATGCATTTTTTCCTGCATTCTAGGGCAATAAGATGAGACAGAAATGAAATTCACTGGTGTAATGTAAATGACATGCGTTCATGTAAGTACATCTATACGAGCATTTACACTATGGTCTTCATGATGCCCACATCTACTTTGATGTTTTCCTTTACTTCCCAGACATGAAAACTCTGCATCTCAGTTATATCATCTGTAAAACTGGGATAATCCTCACTCTCCTTTCCTTCGTATGAGGGTTAAGACAGTAACAACAACCAAACCATACATTGTTGTTGTGGAATTAACTGTGCCTGTTTGTTATGGGATGCCCATGGTGGAAAGAAGCATTGATTATACACAGGGTGGTTGAGTTGGATTTAATTGCTTTTTTACAAATATACATTGAACACTTGCTGTATGGTAGGCAATGATTTTTGCTCTTGGAATGTAGTCAATAAACATACAGAGCAAAAAATTTTCTTAGCTTTATGGAATTTATAAATATATATATTTAAATTTTATTTTACTTTATGTTATGGGATAAATGTGCAGAATGTGCAGATTTGTTACATAAGTAAACATGTGCCATGGTGGTTCGCTTCACCTATCAACCCATCATGTATGTATTAAACCCTGCATGCATTAGCTATTTGTCCTGATGCTCTCCCTCCCCTCATCCCCCACCACCTCAAAAAGCCCTGGTATGTGATGTTCCCATCCCTGTGTCCACGTGTTCTCATTGGTCAACTCCCACTTATTAGTGAGAACGTGCTATGTTTGGTTTTCTTTTCCTGTGTCAGTTTGCTGAGCATAATGGCTTTCAGCTTCATCCATATTCCTGCAAAGGACATGATCTCATTCCTTTTTATGGCTGCATAGTATTCCATGGTGTATATGTACCATATTTTCTTTATCCAGTCTATCATTGATGGGCATTTGGGTTGGTTCTATGTCTTTACTATTGTAAATACTGCTATAACAAACACATGTGCACATATATCTTTATAATAGAGATTCATATTCCTTTGAGTATATACCCAGTAATGGGATTGCTGGGTCAAATGATATTTCTGGTTCTAGATCCTTGAGGAATTGCCACACTGTCTTCCACAAAAGTTGAAGTAATTTATATTCCCACCAACAGTGTAAAAGCATTCCTGTTTCTCCACAGCCTCACCAGCATCTACTGCTTTTTTACTTTTTAATAATCACCATTCTGACTGACCTGAGATGGTATCTCATTGTGGTTTTGATGTGTACTTCTGTAATGGTCAGTGATGTTGAGTTTGTTTTTCATATGTTTGTTGGTCACATAAATGTCTTCTTTTGAGAAGTGTCTGTTCATGTATTTTGCCCACTTTTTGATGGGGTTGTTTGTTTCTTTCTTGTAAATTTGTTTTAAGTTCCATATAAATTCTGGATATTAGATCTTTGTTAGATGGGTAGATTGCAAAACTTTTCTCCTATTCTCTAGGTTGCCTGTTTACTCTGATGATAGTTTCTTTTGCAGTGCAGAAACTCTTTAGTTTAATTAGGTCCCATTTGTCAGTTTTAGCTTTCATTGCAATTACTTTTGGTGATTTCATCATAACATCTTTGTCCATACGTGTGTCCTGAATGGTATTGCCAAGATTTTCTTCTAAGATTTTTACGGTTTTGGCTTTTACATTTAAGTCTTTAATCCGTCTTGAGTTAGTTTTTGTATAATATGTAAGGAAGGGGTCGAGTTTTAGTTTTCTGCATATGGCTAGCCAGTTTTCCCAACACCATTTATTAAATAGGGAATCCTTTCCCCATTGCTTGTTTTTGTCAGATTTGTCGAAGATCAGATGGTTGTTGAAGTGTGGTCTTATTTCTGAGATCTCTATTCTGTTCTATTGATCTATGTGTCTGTTTTGTTACCAGAACTTCCAATAATACATTGAATAGCAGTGGTGAGAGAGGGCATCCTTGTCTTGTACCAGTTTTCAAAGGGAATGCTTCCAGTTTTTATCCATTCCATATTATATTAGCTATGGGTTTGTCATAAATAGCTCTTATTATTTTGAGATATGTTGGAATTTATATTTTACCACAATGTGTTTGCTGTGGTCACCGTTCTCATTCAAGAGGCAAAACGTATTTTGGGGCCGTGTGTGTGTGTGTCTGTGTCTGTGTTGCTACTGGAAAATGAAACAAGCACAGGAAAATACTTTCATTATTAAGTCCTAACTAGATTTGAGTGAGTGTTAACAAGTGAAATGAATATGAAGTCATGTCAGAAACTCTGAAGTCTAGAATCAGCTTCGCTTTACTCTGTGTTCTTATGAGCCAGCCTGGTCTGATCATCTCCCCTGACATGTACATGGATGGCTCTATTTTATTATGAACTGAGATAGGAGACTGGAGAACCATCCCAAGAAGAATGTCAGATTGTCTACCAGGAAGTTCCGAAGATGGAGGTTAAGAGCTCAGATGGGAGTGTCGGAATATGCGGGTCCTACTCACCACCAAGGATTGTTTCAAAGGCTTACTCCTATTGGATTAAAAGGTAATTTTTACAAAAATAACAGCAATTAGTTATTAAATTATCTCAATGAACTGGTTTATTATTTAAAATGATGACAAAAACATGAAACATCCATGTTCAGGGCCAGTAAATATTTGAAAACATTTATTGGCAATTATATATGAAGATGATTATTATACCATGATTTATACAAGAATGAGAAAGTTTTGCTGTAATCCTTCATATGAAGTACATGAGAGGCACAGAAATGAGAAAGTGAAACTACCTTTATAGGCAAGTTCTAGGTCTTTGAAGTCCTTGATGCTTTGTAAAGAAAGTTGCAGTCCTTCATTTAGGACTCTGGAGCCATTGAAGGTTTTAAGTATCAGTGTTTCATGATCTTCTTTATAAATGAGAGGGATCCTTTTATTGCAGAAGATAGAGGCTGAAAGACTAAGTAGACAGGTGATGAGGGTCTGACTTAGGACAACAGCAGAAAGGCAAAAGGGAAGAATTTTTAGGACTATTTATGATATAAAATTAGCAGAACCTGGTAATTGTTTAAGTAAGCAGTTTGAAGAAAAAAGAACAAATATACCATTCAAGTTTCTAGGTATTATAGATGGTGTCACCATCTAAGAGACAGACTATAAAATTGGAAACAGGTTGAAGACATTACACAGAGTGTCCTTTGACAACTGGGAAAATTGTGGTGCTGAAGGGATTCCAGGGTGGACAAGGCCATCAGGCTGGAAGTGTAGAGATTGCTAGCTTATGAGAGAAGACTGGGTTCGAAGTACGGATAGATGTGCACGTCACCAACAGGTTGATGGTAGTTTACAATTACATAAGGATGAGATCATCTAGGGTCTATGCACAGCAAGAGCACTGGGGACAAGGCTGGAGCACATCTCCACAACATCTCCCCTGGAATGCTAGTCAGCATTGACACTGATGGGTTGATGAGAAACAGCAGGCCAGGAATAGGCCTAAGATAGCACATGGCTATGGCAGGCAGCGTTCTGAAATGCCTGCCACCTGGTGTGCACACTCTATACTACTTCCTCTACTTGAGTGTGGGTGCCTGTGAACACGACGGGATAGTCCCTCTTGTGACTGAGTTACATTATACAACTCCATCTTGGCAGACAGAAGAAAGATTGTCCTGCTGGCTCTGAAGTAAGATGCTATTCTACAAAGGAGCCATACGGCCATGTGGCTATGACCCAGGGGCAGCCTCTGGTAGCTGAGAGATCACTGGCTCATAGCCAGCAGGAAAACAGGAACCTCAGTTCTCCAACACAAAAAAATTGAATTCTGCCAATGACCTGAATGAGCTTAGAAAAGGGCCTTGAGCTCCAGATGAGAATGCGGTTCTACCAACATCCTGATTTCAGGCTTGTGAAACACTGAGCAGATAACCCAGCTATGCTGTGTGAACCTCTGACCTCCAGAAACTGACAGATAGTAAATGGGCACTGTTTTAAGCCACTTAGTTTGTGGTAATTTATTGTGGAGCAATAGAAAACTAATATAATGGTCTGAGAGGTGGGAAGGTTTCTTTGATGGCAACAGTGGTGTTACATTGATAAGATTCCTTCCACAGAGACAGTCAACATGCACACAGTCCAGATGCTCAGGGCCTAATACATGCTAGTAGCAGTATATGCCTTTGGTTTTTTCTAATTTGAAAGCTTAAACTCAGGGTCCTAAGTCTTAACACAATCCAGAAAGCTTCATCACTGTTTCTATCAAAAGAAGGAAAAAAATACACTTATTTTAAAGGCCATCCCATCTAGCCAGATTAGATATCCACTCTGGACAAGATCTATGGATGTATTTTGGTATCTTTAGCCATAGAGGAGAATTTAACGTAGCTTCTAAAAAACCACCATCATCAAACACATTATGTACTCACGAACTATGTACCAAAAAAAAAATTAATGTCTTGGCAAGACAAATGTCCATGAAGATAAATTACAATCTTTCTCCCTTTCCTTTCTCCTTTCTCCTAAGAGGTAAAAAGACCTGGCCCTTTATTTCCTGCAAATACTGTCTGCACTTCCTTGTCAAAACAGTCTGCTACAATTTGAATAAAGGAAGGTTTTGAAATGCTTCTCAGCTTAACATTTCCAGGGTAATATTTTCGTTTGAGTTGACAGACAAAGCCTTCATCTGTCAAATGAATGTACTCAGGAGATTATATCAATGGCTAATCCAATAAAAAATCTTTGGTATATTCAGTTATCTCTGCTGTGAATTTGATGAGATGTAGATTGTGGAGAATAGAAAGTTATATTTACTTTTCCCTTAAATCTTTATTAATCATTTTTGTATTTAACTTTAGGAAAATTATAACTTCTAATTATTTTTCCCTATCTCTAGAATGAAACAAACCAATAATAAAAGAATAATCCTACCCCAAAATGTGTTTTTTTTTTAGATTTATTTTTTCTTAGTTAACATCATATGCTTAAGCAAACTTATTTTACTAAATTCAGTGGGTAGAAACAAAAAAGAAACACATAAGTAGGGCTAACCTAGTGTTATGCTGTGGGGTGTGTGTGTGTGTGTGTGTGTGTGTGTGTGTCTGTGTGTTTCTGTGTGTGGTTTGATTAGGGATATGCCTCACAATAAAGTCGATTCATTATGATCCAATTTTCCAAGTAGTTAATTTGGCAGTCTCTAGATAGAGCTACCAAGTATAAAGACTGTATAATATAATTTTATTTCTGCAGAAACATTGTAAGAAAAACAATTAATAATTATTCTGGAATAAAAACACTTTTTCAAAAAAGAAAACTATTTATTTATTTATTTAAAGACTGAGTACTTTTTGTAATTTTGGTAGAGACGGGGTTTCACCATGTTGCCAAGGCTGGTCTTGAACTCCTGGGCTCGAGTGATCCACCCTTCTTAGCCTCCCAAAGTGCTGGGATTATAGGCATGAGCCACCGCACTTGGCCAAAAGTAAAAACACTTTTTGGAAACCTTTTAGAAATTAAGTCATTAATAGATGGTAAAAGCCTCGTGAAGGCAAAGACTTTTTGCTTCCTCCTTCAGACTTCAGGGTTTTGGTTGCTTGTTGGTAAGAGCTTGTGTTCATGTGAAAGAAAAAGATACACAAGGCAATGTTTTATTTTATTATATATGATCCTCTTCTATTTCATGTTGTATTTGGTATGGGAAATTCTAATCCTCAGATTTGTGGCCTCACTTGCTTCCTAAGAGAACTATTTTTCCAAGTTACAAGATGCTTAAGGCTGTCTCCCAAATCATTACAATAAACACCACAGTGAGGGTGTGAGTGTGAATGCATCATAAGAACACCGGGGAGGGGGGCTTGAGAATATCCGGATATCTCCTAATGGCATCTGAGCAAGCTTTGTATCTTGTCTGAGAATGTCCAAGCTAGGTTATTGTAACCAGTTCTCTAGCAGATTCAGTCTGAGTTAAGGGAATTTTCCTCTAGAGGATTTTTTTTAATGACACCCTCCGCTTTACCTGAAACCTTGTCTCATGTTTTTAATTCTACCTTATAAAATGTTACAACCAGAAAACCCACATTCCTTTATTAAGTGCTTCCCCCATGAAGAGAAGGTGGCTACAGTGGGAATTCTGCTCTCCCAGTTCTTTGGCTATCATCAACTTGGCCCTCCTATCCTTTACATCCCTGAAGCTTTGCATGTGTGATTATCATAACTCCCTTTTGTGTGGGATTATGTGTAATTAAGTTTTCAATCAATTTGACTAATTAAATGGAAGTACTGTCTGTGGGCTAGATCAGGAGACTAAAATCTGGGTTTCTGAGAATTACCACTAATTCACTAGGTGGATACAGCAGTTTATTTAACCTCCAATTTTCCTAATGGAGGAAGTAGAGTAGGACGTCTCTAAAGTCAGATTCTATAAGGAGCCCAATTTTTGTAAGAACCCCAAATTTCTATCTCTAGACCCTTGTTCTCTCTTGTGCTTCAAATCCAAATTCCCAGCTGCCTCCTCTTGCTGGGGAGTGCAATACCTCACCAGGTCCACCTGAAAAGTCAGCCATATCCCTGAGGAACTACTGAAAACTCCTGGCTAAGGATGCTGGCACTGACACTGGCCTGGATTTTATAGATTTCCCTGCTCAAATGGTGGTAGACATAGGGAAGAGATTACATAAAATTCATTGGCTAAAGATTTGTGCTTTATTTTACTTCTTCATGAAGTAAGTATTGTGCTGGGAAGGTATCCTTTGCCTTATTAATGTTTCTAACTTTGGAACAAATTTAAAATAATAGAAAATAATTTCTGAAAGTTACCTTAGTGATACTCCAGCCCAACCTCCTTATATTCTATGAGGAAAATGAGGTCTCTGCAAGATAAGGATTGGCTCACTGTAGAAGGAGCTAGAACTCCATGGCTCCTTCCCAGTGCTCTCGCCATTGATTGCCACAACCACAGGTCATGTATACTTTTCTTGCACAGCCACAACCATGTATGCCACTCAGCATGATGTCACCTTGCTAAAATAAGGGAATATTCAGAGCAGAGCTGACTCATCTCAATGACAGGGCAGTTGGATGCCATCTAGTATGCCTTAGGTGTCCAGGGAAACAGAAAGCATGAGCATGGCAGAGTCGCTGGATGGTCCTGCAATCTGTATTATTTTCCACCAGGCACACTCTTTTGTCACACTATGAGTAAATAAGAGCCGCAGAAAGTATCCCCAAGAATACGTAATTTCCAGAAAAACAAGCAACAACCCAAGTGAGAGGGAAGAGGCATATAAATCCCGTCAGCCCATCCAGCGCCAAAGAGTCTCCAGGTGAAGATGAAGAGAGCTCACTCTTAGGCCTAGCTTCCTTCTTCTGCTGGGCCTTTCTGCAAGAACTCACACTAGACCCCTAACTTTTGATCACCATCCTCACTTCACTTAACCAAACCTAAATGTATATTTCCTACAGAGATTACATTAATAGCTTCCTTTCTTGTCTGACCACAGGACAAGGCAAAGTTTCCCTTACTTTACACTTCTTCAAAATTTATTTATATCATCTGTTCTGTAATATCATATGTTATTAATACGCTGACTTGCATGTGTTCTGTTGTTATTTCATATGTGTATTTCACATCTCCCTGCAACATTACGAATACTTGAGGTGAGAGGTCATGACTTCTGCTTCTTTGGAATCTCTAACAGCCCTTACCCATGATAAGCTCATTGAGTGGACATAAATCTCTATGAAGACCTGAAAAGGGGTGAATTTGTTGTTTGTTGGTTGGTTTGTTTTGAGCCACTCTTTTAATGTTCTTTTCACGGTTAAACAAGAAAATAAATGACATGGGCCTCTGGCGAGTTAAAACTGGCTCAGTACCCAAGCACCAATTCATTAAAAGCATTTGTGGATTCAAAAGGAAAAGCAAATTTTAAAAATGTTTAATACTTTTTGTTGAAATTTTAGAGTATGTATCTATATTTTTAAATTAACATGTATATTTAAATGTTAATATAATGATTAACAGAATTATTATAAATTAGTTTAAAGTAACCCCTGAATCAATAGTTGTGACGTAAAAATATGATCACAGCTAGTGCAGAAATATATCTCTGCGCTGGAAATGAAATCATTTTGCTTTTTCCTGCTAAACTAATTCTTACTCTGTCATGCTTACTGCTCACAAATGTTTCAGGGAATAATATGTGTTACAGCTATTAGAGACAGGTCTGCAATGTTAAATAGTAGCAAGTCAAAGATGACAAGTCTTGTCATTTAATGAGTTAAAGATCAGATACTAATATTGTATTAAAACTAGGTGATGTGCACTCATAGCCTGCTATTCTGTTTGCTGGCAAAATGTCAGCAGAGAAGCAACAGGAAATAGCAGAATGTGGAAGACAAAAGTTGCCCATACTTAAAGGATGGCAATGAAACAAAATGAAGTTTGTTTAATTGAAACAATGAATTGTTTAATTAAAAGAAATTCCTATCTCTTATTCATTAAGATAAGCATCATCGAGATTCATTTTAGAACAAAAATCTAATATCTGCTTTGCAACTTCAGTGCAATTTTTACGTAATTTTGTTTTCTAGAATAATACTGGCTAGGAGAAGGAAAGAAAAAAACTGCACTTATGCTTCCCTATGTACTGAGCATATATGACTGTCTCAAATAAAATTAACAACTTCAAAAGAACTGCATCACGAATTTTGATTAATCCAGAGATATAACTGAGAGGTGAGAAGGAGCTTGACTCAGAGCCCTCTTGAAAGCTTTAAGTCTCTTAAAATTTACATTCATGTCCACTGAATGGTGACAGATCAAGGAATTTCTAGGAAACTCTGAAGGCAATGGCACATTGGATATTTCCTTTTTATGAGAACATTTAGACAAGTAGAATAAAAATTTCTCTATTAAAAATGAAATTGACATATGGTGGAAAGAAACTAATTCCAGAATATAAAATAGACACAACCACATTTTTTTTGCCCCCAACTACACTGGTTAAGGAGAGCTTACCTTTTAGATCCTTAGAACTATAAAATTATGTGCAGTGACATCTGTCTCCATTAAGTAGAGTAATTTCCCAGAGAGGAGCAAGACTTTCAACACAACAATAGGAGGCTTGCCAGTTGACAGGAAAGAATGTTCCTTGACCTGACCGTGGCTGATGGGACTCTGATGTGATCTCCCAGGACTGGATGGTCTAAAACACTGATTCATTAGTCTGTTTAATCTTCATGCTTGCTAAAAAAGAGATCCTCCTTGATTTAAAGGCTGTCAGGCTGTCATCTCAAGAGGTCCATCCCTTGTCATTCTCTGCTTCCACAATCAAATAAAATGATTCCTAGTCCTGTTAGAAAGAATTACCATAAAGACGAAAGCAATCTAGAAATAGAACCTGAAATTTTTAGCTAGGGACATTTACATGTCTATCTCTACCTACTTTTACTCCCACTGTGATTTTCAATCACTGAGGTAGATATTTTCTATCCTCACTATAATTATATCATTTTTCAAAAGTCTCTGTAATAAAAATACATTATATGGTTAGTGGTGCACTGACAAGCTTCAAACTAAACCGAAGTTTCACAATTATAATGTTATCACTTAGAGTTAAGGTTTTGATACGGGAACCCAGATACATTGCAAAGAAAGTTGAGAAAAATAGATTGTGTTAGTGGGAGGAATAGGGAACTGGGAAAGTCCTAAAAGAATTATCATTTGAGTCCCCTAAATGCACACATTTGAAATATACAATGTTGGATTGGATAGGAATTCCCATTGCTCTAAGTTCTGTTCTGAAGTTCCCAGATATCTTTTACAAGATCTTACCATGTAATTTGTTGAGTCCATGGTAAAATCTACATGCATAGTAGCTGAATTAATGTTATGGGGATATTTAGTGTTTTTAATACCAGGTGACAATGTTTACCTGACATTGTACGTGGCAGATACCCATGTTTACAGACCACCATATTTACTCTTGCCTGATTACCTTTAGTTAACACTCAGATTATACTGATAGATTTGTAAAGATTCGCTGTGTTTCTCTGTTTCCAGGACCCGATAGATGGAATTTGCTGATGTGATCACCTCTCTGATTATTGACATTATATTGAATGAGAATACTGAGGCATGGTATGATTTTTTTTGCAGCTGTGATTGGAAAGGATACTAAGTACTAAGGCTTCATGCACTTTTGTAGCTGGTGCATACTTTTGTACTATGTCACCTGGAAGGTGAACATCCCTTAACTCATTTATCCCCATCTGCTGATTAATATAAATGAATCAAGTTTCCATCTTCAGTTGTCTATACTCCATTCTGTCACTTATTAGTCCCAGCCTTATTTATAACTCTACCTTCAACTGGTTTCCACACACGTATAAAATCATTTTCTGCTTATCATTTCCTCTGTTGTGGAAATATTCCTAGTATTAGCATTCAACATTCCAGATATTCAATGGGCTGTGCAAAGGCCCTTTTAACTGGACTCCAATGTTAGACTCTTTCCCTTTCTAATTCACCATACATCTTTGAAGAATTAAATTTCCTAATGCACAATTATAATGATTCTGTCCTGTTTAATATATCCAGGGCCTGCCCCCATTGCCTACACCACCAAGGGCACACTAATGGGCTGGGCAATTATTACTGTCCTTCCAAGTGTTAGATCAACACATCTTCATAACTGGATCTGCTTTCACTCTCAGGTAAAAATGGACAACACCTCTCATCTACATTCACTCGCACTTGTCCACTGCCATGTTTCTGTTCCACCTGAAGTGCTCTTCCTCCATGGCTGGACATTTTAAATATGTGAACTTTAAAGCCCAACAAAGAGCCTTCTACTCACTGCTTCTGTAAATCTCTTAGCCAGAAAAAATATATTTGCTTTCTTTTCTAAACTCCCACGTGACTATTTATTGGAAACTCATTTGTGAAATATCATTTCTATCATTTACTTCAGTCATTCACATATTAAGTGTAAATTTCTTGCAAGTAAAGGCTGAGTCTTTAGCTTCTCTGACTTCAAGGATTCAATCAGTATGTATTTTTTAGATGTATACTGCAGCATAACACAGGGTGAATTATAAATGTTTTCCAGAGTATTTAGTGTTATTATTCTCACAGACATCTAAGTCTACCCAAACGAATAGTTTTCTATTATTACATATTTATTTCTAAACTTTGACTCACCTTTGGAGAAATAAAAAGGCAAGGTTGCTTATATTAAGTGTTAGTATAGAAATGATGAATTTATTTGGGGGTGGCTGGGTATCCATTTTTGAAAGAAAAGCTTGTGGCCTGAAAAAGAGAACACAGTTTTACCAAAGTAAAAATCAACATGCTCAAGAGTATTCATAGATTGAAAGTATAATCACTCAATTCCTAACCATTTCACAATATAACAAGCCATTGTGTTGGGGTTTTATCAAAAATGAGCAATATCAATTCTCGCTTAGAAACTGATTTTAGCCATTTCTTTCAATTCGGTAAAATTGGCAATATTACAAACTCTAGTATTGGAGCCAGGAACAGGATCTTCCCCCAAAACATTGTGAATCTTTAGGAATAGAACTCCTAGGGTTGTAATTTTTAAAAAGGAATAATTAGTAGCTGTTACCTGAAAGTTATCCCTAGGCAAAATGAAGAAAGCTGAGGTGATAACTATCTCCTTGGGTCACTTCCTGTCCTTGTTGAATAAAAAGATGAATTAAGGTAAGGCCAAACACCAGTGAGTGAGATAAATCCTGGAATGAGACGCTTCAGGACTGAGTTGTCTAGAAAGTGGTGAATTAGCCTAGGCAATCCATGGAAAGAGAGTAGAAGAAAGAGAGGAAAAGGAAGAAGGTTGAGTAGATTTCAAACAGTCAACTGCTGAGGTTAAATACAGTTTATGAGTAGTTTCACTTTTTCCCTAACGTTTTCACTTCACTGAAAACCATTTCTTTAATTGTGTAAATGTAAGGTGTACAACATGGTGTGTTGATGTACGTATCCACGGCAAAATGTTGACTGAAATGTTGACTAAAGTTAGGTGGCAATCTAACAAGTTCATCACTGTCCATAATTACCTCTGTGTGTGCATGTACATGTTTGTGGCAAGAACACCTAAAATCTACTTCCTTAGCAAATTTTCAACACACAATACAATATAACAAACTATAGCCCTTCTGCTGTATATTAGATTCCTAGACTTATTTAACCTAAACAACTACAAGTTTGTACCATTTGACCTGTATCTCCCCAGGTCTTCCCCTTCCCCACCCTTGGTAACCACCATTCTACTCTGTTACTGTGTTTTTTTTTTTTTTTTATTTCACATGTAAGTGTCATTAAACAGTATTTTTCTTTCTGTCCCTGGCTTATTTCACTTAGCAGAAGGTCCACCAGGTTTATCCATGTTGTTACAAAAGGCAGGATCTCCCAACACCATTTTAAAATTAAAAAAAATGAGAACTGACTTAGTTTTTGCAAGACTTTCAACCTCATCTAATCAGGTAGTTGTGCCAAGAAATAAGAAAAAACAAATCTAGATTGTGTGTTCCAGGACTCAGCCCCAGGACAGAGCTCACGCCAACCCGACCACAGGCCTCACATAGGAAGCCTGGGTCCTTAGAAGCTGGCACTTTTCTCTCTTGAGTGTCCAAAGGCTTTGTTATCTCTGCTTTCATTGCCTCACTCAAAACCTGATTATAGCCATTGCCTTCAATGAAATAAAAATGACAGGAACAGCTTAAAATGTCATCCTTCCCATGGATATCTATATTTTAACAAGGGATTATTCTTTAGGCTTAAGTGCCATCAATGATATTTCAGGCAATCCCTCAAAAACAGAGTAACGTTTTGGAGATACCTAGGAAATCTCTAAAATCTCTCTTAAGTGGCCACACAGAGAACTAAGGAGTCTTGCTAAGTGTACCATCCTACCCCAGCTACACCTGTTTGAAAGAGGTGCTATCTTTTATAAGCCAAGAAGCAGCTACTTTTCTGAGCATAATTAGCTTAAGAGCTCTCTAAAATAACTTGATTTAAATATCTTAACTTCATTTGCCCTGACTTAACAATTTACCTCTTTTGTGATACACGTTATCCGTACCTACTTCAAAAAGACACTAAAAGTTAATTTTGTTCAATTGTCATTAACAGACTGTTGAATCCACTCAGTTCACTTCTAGATTGGAATATATGAGTATCTTTAATTGGTCCTTGTAAGAATGGGAGGAGTTAGTGTTTTTAAAAAGGGGTTAGATAGGAATTAATGCCTTTTCCAACTTCTTTCAAGTGCTGTCATTGACTGAGGCTACTTTACTAATTATTCTCAGAAAAACACAATACTTCTAGGTTCAGAGATGTGGCAAATTGACAGACTGAGTTGATTCTTCATGAAAAAACACATTATCAGTGGTCTCCTATGCAGCAGGCACTGTTGCAGGTACATGTGGGGAAACAGCAAGAGAAAAAGTAGATAAATATCACTGTCTTCATGAAGCTGATATTCTGAGGGGAGGGTGAGGATGACTTAAATCTAGGAGCTCTGGTAAGTAGAAGAGTTTAACCTGATTCTGAAATATCTGAAACATCTTGCCCAATAAATTCAGGGGAAAATTGCATGACAAAGATTAACATAAAACCTGAATAAGCATCTAATATGCTTGCTGAATGAATGGATTCTGAATTTTCACCTATGTCATTATAAAGGAATAACATAACAGTCATAATAAGTAAAAGCTGAGAATGGTAATTGGAACTAAAATGCGTTATTTCTTCCTAGTAAGTTAGCTCTTAAAACACAAATCGAGTATTTCCCCAATAATGAAGTGTTGTTTCTCTTGTGATAACTAGAACATAAATATAAATAAATCATGTTCCAAATCCATCACCCCGTTATGCTTCTTACGGTTTTACTAAAGAATTAGTAAACTTACCAAGTAGGTAAATATAGTAAATTAGTAAATGTACTAAGAAATTTGTCTTTCTGGTGACCTAGGACTGTATAGAAAACACATACCTGTTCTCCATCTGGAATGGGCCATGATTAGTCTAGGTTTTGATTAAGCAAAAACTGACATGAGCATGTTGCATGCTATGTTAACACTAAATGATTGTCCTGCTACTTTAAAAATATATCTGGGGAAACAATAAAACAGTGGAACGCAATATAATATAGTCGAAGATGAAAGAAAACGGGACTTTGGCAGCATCTGTGATAAGTGAACACTTGTCTCCCTCTGTGAGCTTTTGCTGCAGCTCCTGCCCACCCGCTGTCACTGGACTCCCAGCTGCAAGGTGGCCCATATTAACAGTCACTCTGGGTTCAACATCATTAATGTTCACTCTCAAGTCACCACAAATCCCACGTTCCCCTCATCTCTCAGGCTTAAAAAACTCATTTAACACCAAGGGCTAATTAATTAACTGGATTTTCTTATATTTAATGGGGAACATACTAAGCCATTAGAATCCAGCCTTGTTCAAATTTAGGTCACCAAAGAGGTCTACAAGTATGCCAGTCAACAGAAAACCTAACCATTTTTTTCTGGATTTTACTTTAATAGAAATCAATTTTTTTTACGAAATATTATGTTAAAGTAGAGCAGGAGGGATGCTGCACTAGAATAATTTTATAATTTCTATCATCATGCAAGTTCTTATTTCCAATATGCCTTCATTTTACTCACAAAATGAACTTCACCTGAAAATACACAGTAGCATTAATTCTGGAAATAGTGTAAAGACCTGATGTTAAGTGTTTGTGTATATTTGACTACAGGAGGGTGCCTTGTTCTCTATGGCTAAAGGCAGAAAATGAACTTTCTGAAACCATGGTTGTCAATTTTTCCTATGTTAGAGTTAGATCAGACAATCTAATACTGTAGCTAGTCTTTTATTTGAAGTTGGCAGTCTCCTGAATGCAAACAAAAGCATGAAAGAAAATAGGAATTTATATCAGAGTATATAAACAAAGTGACTTTATTCCGCAAAGCTTCAAATTTGCAAATATTCACGTGTCAATTTCCATAACACCTTACCTCTGAAACTAGATCATTTCTCCAATGCAAATCTAAGGCCTGTATTTCTTGAGGATGAGAAACTCTACATTCCCTATTGCTGTCACAAATGTACTTTCCATCATTTTGTATTACCTGTTCAGATTTATTTAAAGATTGTTTTCCAAAATAAAACTCAAATGCATCCTGAGATAAGTTCACAGAAGAAAGATTCAATCAGGAGCTAAATTATATTCGAAGATTTATTCTCGTGGATATAAATGGATTATTCCAGCCAACAGCTCTCTAAAATCCTTTGGGTTAAACTTTGATGATAGTACTCAAAGCTAGATTTCTAGAAATATTAATTTCTAGTGAAACTGCACTTAAACATGTTCAAAATAATATAAAAAGTGTTTTGGGATTTGTTTTTATATAATCCCCATAGAAAGGCCAGTGAAAATATTTGCTGAGGTGAGAACTGTCTCAAACTTCTATCTCCTCTTCAAATGGACCCTTTCTAGAATGAAGAGAAGTGGAGCCTACTGTGCCACAAAATTTCCTTCATATTCCCTCTGAATAAACAGATTGACTACAGGCTATATTAACTTGAAAGACTCTCCTATGAGTGGCTGTTTATGCCAGAAAATCCAGACATAAAAGGCCAGAGCTGACACCTTCAGGTGGCAGCTAAGAAAAAGAAAGAAGCCTAGACCTCTTAGAGAGAAAGTGACTAAGGAGGCTGGATCCATTACTAGACAGCCATTGGTCTTGGTCAGCTCCGTAGTTAGCCATGTAGACCCTGAATCCTAGAAATCTCTTCAAGATAGCCACACAACCTATTAAACTCCAGAACATCACCAGAAGGGCAATGACCTGAAGTGCACTGGCCAGTGTTTGAGGCAGCAGATGATCTTGGAAGGAGTGAGTTTCCCTCACTCTGTAGCTAAGAAAGAGACTCCAGGTCTGAAGACAGTGGAGCCCATAGGGTTCACTGTGGAATATTTGAAGCCCCCCGGCCTCCTCCTAACAGACGAGCCCGCGTAAAGCCCAAGTGCCTCATGTTGTTGAGAATGCCACAGTTTTTTTATACTTCTTTCTTTTTTTTTGGGGCGGGGGGGCGATGGAGTCTTGCTCTGTCACCCAGACAGGAGTGCAATGGCACAATACTGGCTCACTGCAACAACCTCTGCCTCCCGAGTTCAAGCAATTCTCCTGCCTCGGCCTCCCAATTAACTGGGATTACAGGCACACGGCACCACTCCCGGCTAATTTTTGTGTTTTTAGTAGAGAGGGGGTTTCACCACGTTGGCCAGACTGGTTTTGAACTCCTGACCTCAGGTGATCTGCCTGCCTCGCCCTCCAAAAATGCTGGAATTACAGGCATGAGCCACTGCACCCGGCCTCATATTTCTTATTAAGTTTATTGAATGGTAACCTTGGATGACTTTAATGAAAGAAGATGTGATCTTGAGGAGAATAATAGCAACTAATGGGCTAATCAGCTCAGGTCCTTGCTAAGTGACTGGTTTCTTGCTCTGCTCTGCCATCAGAAGACCCAAATTTATCCTCGAAGAGAGTAAAAATTCCCAAATGCCTCAGACCTTCACGGACTAAGCCATGAATGCTTACTATGAGCATGCCAATGGTCTGCTTCCTGAGTGTCGCATCATTTAGTCTTTGAGAACAGGACATATACATTTCTTTGATCTACTGACAACACCTAGCGAAGTACCTTGCAGTGGGCAAGTATACCCACATACTTGCCAGGGAAATGAAGTACTGAATGGATAAATGAATTCATTACTCACAATGATTATCAGTATTGTGGTTCTTTGTATCTGCTTGCTGGAGTGGCTGAAAGCACCATAAAAATAGCACATTTGGATATCATAAAAAGCCTAGATTCAAGTAACTCTTCCATTTACTCTAAAACCCTGTTGTATATAATATGATTTGATGAGTAAGCATTATTTAATTGCTTCTAATATATTGCATCACTAATTATATTTGAGAATAAATTGCAAGTGTGGATGGCAAGTAAAAGTATTATTGACAAAACTTGTATACATCCTGGACAATAGTAACATCATTTAAATGGTGATGGTAGTGGAGTATTTTTAAAGTCTAACCATAGGCATGCTAAAACACAGTGAGATTAACATTGAATGGGACTTGCATTAATCCATTCTCATGCTGCTATAAAGAACTGGCAGAGACTGGATAATTTATAAAGAAAAGACGTTTAATTGACTCACAGTTCTGTATGACTGGGAGGCCTCAGGGAACCTACAATTATGGCCGAAGGGGAAGCAAACATGTTCTTCTTCACATGGCAGCAGGGAGAAGTGCCCAGCAAAGGGGGAAAGCCCCTTTCCTGCATCAGATTTCATGGGAACGCACTCACTATCACAAGAACAGCATGAGGGTAGCCACCCCCATAATCAAAAAACATTAACTCCCACTGGGTAATTTAGTCCCGCTCCCCCTTCCAGGACACATGGGGATTATGGGAACTACAATTCAAGATGAGATTTGGGTGGTAGCACAGCTAAGTCATATTAGGCCTGTTGCTATGTTGCTTCAAATTTTTAGGTCAAATAGTTAAATAGTTTCTAATTTAAAAGAAATCACGTATTCGTATACAACTACTGTATTTTAATCTGTCACATGTTTTATTATAAGGGACATTAATAGTTAAAAAAATCCTTTTATATGTCTTTCTGATAGTGATTTTCTGTATATTCTTTATTATATCCAAAAGCGTACATCCATGTTTTAAAACTTGAATCATAATAATATTCAGGTACTGTGAGATTATCTCAATTTTGAAAATGTTATAAATTTAAGAACTTCTTGGAATAGTACCATGAAATGACTTATATGTCTACATTTAGGTGGCATATCTATCTCAATGGGATTTACACATCTTTTAGAAATGTGATGTAATTACTCCATATTTGAGACCAGCAGGCAATCTCATTCCTTTTCTAATGCAAGTGACTTTGTCCCAACCTGCCGGGATGAATGTGGAAGGGGAAGAATCCAGGCTTAGATAGCGAGCAGCAGTCCTTCCCCAGATGGCTTTCCAAGGATGAGCCAAGGGACAGCTACCTCAGCTTCACAGATGAGGCAAGCTGTCAGCCAGAAGACAGAGGTGGGCAGGAAGAAAAGACATAGGTTGACAGAGATGCTCTAAGTCTAAGCCTGCAGAGGATCAAGCAAAGTGGAGAGGGGAGAGGAAGGCAGGCTGGAGTGAAGTCAAAAAAGAAGCCCTGGTGAACCCAGCCACTGATCTGCCTCCAGCTCACTTTCTGGGGCTCACCCTGCCTCTGGCAGGCAGGAGTTGGGGCAGAGGTTACATTTTAGAAGAAGGCAGTAATGCCTGGACTGGAATTATTCATAGGATTTTTGTGACACTTTAATTTATGTCATACTTATCGCATATTTTCTTATATCACTATCAGCCAAATCTAAGCACTATTATTATGTCTATTTATTTTGTTCTTAGCTGTCTGTATATTTAAATATTGATGATCATAGTGTAAGTATATTTTCCCTAAGCTATCTTAACAGTAATTCTACACTGATACATGATCCTAAAGATATATGTGTCCTTACCATTCTGATCACTGTGTCAGAGACATCACCAGTATTTATGTGTGGACATTTCCTTGTTTATCCTAAAATGTGTTTCTCATCCATCCTTGCCCCTCCAAACTAAGCTATGTGCCTGGAGTCCCAAGCACCCTCTTTGTATTTCTCACTGGGGTTGTTATTTTAATAGGGAGGGAAGTGATAAATTGGTTTCATATCTTTCTTTAATCTCACCACTTCAGTCTAACAGGCATTTTCAATGTAGCGTGCATTTGGATTACACCCGTCCCCTAATTTTCAGTACTGATTTTTCTCTATTTTTGAATTTTCTTCATTTTTTTTTTTACATCTGAGAAGTCAGATGTTAGAAGATTTTGTGTAAGTCACCATTGCACCCCTGTTTCAAACCTTCTGTTTTGGTAGCCCACCTGTCTGGCCTTGGAATTTCAGCTTGTGAGTAGAACCCTTTCTAACTGGTTCAAGTTCCCCCACAGGAACAATGATTCTGTCTCTGAATAGTTACTAGGACACAGAAATTTGCTAATACAATTGCTTTCTGATCTGAACTTGAGAAGAATCTGTTTTTCTAGATCTCTTAGAACTTTGTTCCTTTTGCCAGTAGGAATAGCTTCCATCTCTGACTCATTCCTTGCTTGAGTTCAGCAAAAAGTAATTGAGTACCTTATATATGCCTTAGGAATAGTCAAATGCAAATCTGCTGGACTTAGCCCCTGCCTTGTGGGAGCTTCTATCTAATCTACTAGAAACATAGACATATAAATAGATAGTGTTCAACAAGCTTTAAGTAACTGGATAGTGCTTGATAAATTTCTGCATGTTAAGATGAAGGTTGGAGGGAGGAGTCGGAAAACCTGGATTCACACTGAGACTTTGCTACTTTTAAATGTGAACTACTAAGTCCCTTAACTGTTTTCATCTTAATCTGTATGTTAAACTATTATATCAATACTTGCCTCATTGAGGAATTACAAAAACAGATTGAAGAAATTTGGAGGAAGAAAGATTTTCAAATATATACATTTATTTTTAAAGTGGTTCTTATATGATTGCCTCTGTTTCTAAGTAATATGATTATATTATCATTTATATATTATTAATGCACTACAGTCCAAGACCACCTAGAGAACACCTACCTATATTTGACAATTTGGATCTGTTGCTCAGAACCATGGTTGCACAGAACCATGGGATGTCTCAGTAGTTGGGTATTAGAAAAGGGTTATATGTCAATGGAAGTTTAATGGGAATAGCACTGAATCTATAAATCTATAAATTGAATCTATAAATTGGCCATTTTATCAATATTGAGTCTTCCTATCCATGAGTGTGGAATGTTTTTCCACTTGTTTGTGTCATCTCTGATTTCTTGGAGAAGCAGTTTGGGGAGCCAAATGATGAGAATACATGGACACATAGAGGGAACAACACCCGCTGGGGCCTTTTAGAGGGTGGAGGGTGGGAGGAGGGAGAAGATCAGGAAAAACAACTAATGGGTACTAGGCTTAATACCTGGGTGATGAAATACTCTGCACAATAAGCCCCCATGACACAAGTTTACCTGTATAACAAATCTGCATATGTACCCCTGAACTTAAAGGTTTTTAAAAAAGAGAGAATTCAAGTTCAGATTAGGTGACATTGGGGTGAGTTCCAGGAAGTGGGGCTTGGGTGTGGATTGGGTGCTATCAGGAAGCCAGTGTAATTGTGTGATTGAGTATCTTAACAGATCTTTTGTAGAAAGAGGGAAAACTAAATAAAGGCAAAGTGCACCTAATTACTCAAGAAGCAGTAGTCACTCATACAAGCCAGGATAAGGGGGTGCTTGGTCATTACTGTGGTTTAGACAATGTTTATGATGTTGTCTGTGTTCAACCATGATGCTGCAGTTGTCTAGTGTTTGTACTGATCTATCATGGAATAGTCTTGTCTGGTGTTGATGTTTTCTGAAATCTTGTTCCACAGAACACTGAAGCCTGGCTTTGCGTGCTGGGCCAGCTTCTGGAGGTCAGGGGCTACTTTTCTGTTTCCTAATATGTGTGTGTATATGTGTGTATAAGCATATACACAACCCTAGAAGCTTGTTGTCAAATTCAAGTTCTTTAAATCTAAATAAATGAAATTCTCAACATATTTTCACTACTAGAGGTTCAATCCTTTCCATTAAAAAAAGTCGAACCAGTTATTCCTAAGTTGCTTTTTTTTTCCCATACTTACTTTTCTGTCATTTATTTTGCTTTAAAATTAAAGGATTATAACGTTGAAGCACAAAAACGTGTGTCAGATAACGACATATGGTATGAAAATCATAACCAAGCATTAAAACATTAAGCAAAAATAATAGCTTGGTTCCAAAAGGGAGAAAAATTCAAGTTTATTAAAGTAAAAAAAAATAAACAAATGAGATTTATATAGCTGTTTTTCTGGATTCTACTTTTAATTATATCTTGAACTACTTTGCCTGCTCACGGCCAAAAAAAGAAAAATTATATTTGTGGGGCAAAGAAGAAATAATTATTTCCAAAACATATTTACCCCAATATGTAGCACTGAACGATGCTGCTTAGACATAACAAATCATCCTAATTCTTAACCATGCTTGCATTTTGCATGGAACTATCTATGCCAAATGGTCATTTTTCTCACATTTATTATGTTAACAGGATAAATGCCAACATTTGTCAACATCTTGTAAATGATGAGTCTTAATGAGGCAAGCTACTGTTTCACTTCTCTGAGGAATTTCATAGCAGAATAAGCAAAATATCAGGTTAACACAAGTGGGAGGGAATCCCAGAGAGCAAACCTTTTCTATGAACATATATTCCTTGAGGTTTTGCTTAGAGTGGGTTCTAGGATCCAGGCCAATTTGGCCAAAACCTTTCTACAACATTTTAATTATATTTTTAACAAATCCTACAAAATGAGGTTCACATGTTGATTCAGCCAAAAAAAAGAAGAAGAAAATCTACAAGCTGAACAGAATGCAAGAGAGAGGGAGTGATTTAGTGGTGTTGCCAAAAGCCAATGAATACAAGTGTTTTATAATACAAGGCCATGTTCCACACATATTGGGGTAGGTACAAAGAGTGGTGGAGGAGATATTCTTGCTCTAGAACAAATGAATCAATAAGTTTTTATTTACCAGGCATGTGCTAGACCCAGAAGTGAAAAATGTAACATTTAGAAAAACATTGTTTACCACACGAGGACTGAAGGCAAGACATGCAAAATAAGAGAATACCTAGGCTTGCCAATGTGTTCTGTGACAAGCTTGGACGCCAATGAAGGAACACAGCTAATGCCACAGGTTTCAGGGGCAGAAGTTTTTAGTCAGTAATTCTGATTCTGGTAGTTACAAATTAAACACACTTGGACATACAATTTTACTTCTTTTAATCTCAGTCTCTTTATCTGTCAAATGGAGATAATGATACCTACTATTTAAGATTACTGCAATAATTAAATATGATGTATATAAAATGATGATTAATAAAAAGCAATTATTGCCATTATCATATCTGCTAATGAGATTAAATATTGCTAATCTCTGGTATAAAAAACAAATAGTGGGTAAGAGGGTACCAACAGTTCCTTTTTTAAACTTTTACTTTAAGTTCCAGTATACATGTGCAGAAATTACAGATTTGTTAATAAGTATACACGTGCCATGGCGGTTTGCTGCAACTATCAACCCGTCATCTAGATTTTAAGCCCTGCATGCATTAGCTGTTTGTCCTGATGCTCTTACTCCCCTTGCCCCCCACCCCCTGACAGGCCCCAGTGTGTGTTGTTTCCCTCTCTGTGTCCATGTGTTCTCATTATTCAACTCCCACTTATGAGTGACAACATGCAGTGTTTGGTCTTTTTGTTGCTGTGTCAGTTTGCTGAGGATGATGGCTTCCAGCTTCATCCATGTCCCTGCAAAGGACATGATCTCATTCATTTTTACAGTTGCATAGTATTCCACGGCATATATGTCCCACATTTTCTTTATCCAGTTTATCATTGATAGGCATTTGGGTCGGTTCCATGTCTTTGCTATTGTAAACACTGTTGCAATGAACATATGTGTGCATGTGTCTTTATAGTATAATTATTTATATTCCTTTGGGTATATACCCAGTAATGGGATTGTCGGGTCAAATGGTATTTCTGGTTTTAAATCCTTGAGGAATTGCCACACTGTTTTCGACAATGGTCGAACTAATTTACATTTCCAGCAACTGTGTATAAGTGTTCCTATTTCTCCAAAGACTTGCCAGCATCTATTGTTTCTTGACTATTTAATAATGGCCATTCTGACGGGCGAAATGGTGTCACATTGTGGTTTTGATTTGCATTTCTGTAATGATCAGTGATGTTAAGCTTTTTTCATATGTTTGTTGGCCACATAAATGTGACAGAAGTGTCTGTTCATGTCCTTTGCCCACTTTTCGATGGTATTGTTTGTTTTTTCCTAAAAATTTGTTTAAGTTCTTTGTAGATTCTGGATATTAGACCTTTGTCAGCTGGTTAGATTGCAAAAATGTTGTCCCTTTCTCTAGGCTGCTTGTTAACTCTGATGATAGTTTCTTTTGCTGTGCCGAAGCTCTTTCATTTAATTAGATCCCATTTGTCAATTTTGACTTTGTTGCCATTGCTTTTGGTGTTTCAGTCATGAAGTCTTTGCCCATGCCTATGTCCTGAATGGTCTTGCATAGGTTTTCTTCTAGGGTTTTTATGGTTTTAGGTCTTATGTTTAAGTCTTTAATCTATCTTGAGTTAATTTTTGTATAAGGTGTAAGGAAGGGGTCCAGTTTCAGTTTTCTGCATACGGCTAGCCAGTTTTCCCAACACCATTTATTAAACACAGAATCCTTTCCCCATTGTTGTTTTTGTCAGATTTTTTGAAGATCAGATGGTTGTAGATGTGTGGTGTTGTTTCCAAAGTCTCTGTTCTGTCCCATTGGTCTACATGTCTGATTTGGTACCAGTACCATGCTGTTTTGGTTACTGTAGACTTGTGGTGTAGTTTGAAGTCAGGTAGCATGAAGCCTCCAGCTTTGTTCCTTTTGCTTAGGATTGTCTTGGCTATACAGGTTCTTTTGGGTTTCATATAAAATTTAAAGTAATTTTTTCTAATTCTGAGAAGAATGTCAATGGTAGTCTGATGGGAGTAGCATTAAAGCTATATATTACTTTGGACAGTATGCACATTTTCGTGATATTGATGCTTCCTATCCATGGGGATAGAATGTTTTTCCATTTGCTTGTGTCCTCTCTGATTTCCTTGAGCAGTGGTTTGTGGTTCTCCTAGAAGAGTTCCTTCACATCCCTTGTTAGCTGTATTCCTAGGTATTATATTGTCTTTGTAGCAATTGTGAATGGGAGTTGATTCATCATTTGGTTCTCTGCTTATCTATTGTTGGTGTATAGAAATGCTTGTGATTTTTGCACATTGATGTTGTATCCTGATACTATGCTGAATTTGACTATCAGCTTAAGGAGTTTTTGGGCTGAGACAATGTGGTTTAATAAATATACCATCATGTCTTCTGCAAACAAACAATTTGACTTTCTCTCTTCCTATTTGAATATCCTTTATTCTTTTCTTTTGCCTGATTGTCCTGGCCAGAACTTCCAATACTATATTGAATAGGAGCAGTGAGAGAGGGAATCCAGCAGCACATCAAAAAGCTTATCCATTACAATCAAGTCAGCTTCATCCCTGGGATGCAAGGCTGGTTCAATATACGCAAATCAATAAATGTAGTCCATCATATAAACAGAACCAATGATAAAAATCACATGATTATCTCAATAGATGCAGATAAGGCCTTTGATAAAAGTCAACATCCCTTCATGTTAGAAACTCTCAATAAACTAGGTATTCATGGAACATACCCCAAAATAATAAGAACTATTTAGGACAAACCCAAAGCCAATATCATACCAAATGGGCAAAAGCTGGAAGCAGTCCCTTTGAAAACCAGCACGAGACAAGGGTGCCCAACAATTCTTTAAAATAACATGCTTCTTATTGTACTTAGTTGTTATTGTTGTTGCTGTGTGTGCGTCCGAAGGAAGATGTTCCCATGTGAAACCCAGAATCCTTTAGAAAGTAATGAGCAAATATTTTAATACCCTTATTGAACACTCCCTACTATTAGGTTGGAGCAAAAGTAATCACTTTTTTGCCATTACTTTCAATGGAAAAAAACCGGCCGGGTGCGGTGGTTCACAACTGTAATCCCAGCACTTTGGGAGGCCAAGGCAGGCGGATCACGAGGTCAGGAGATCCAGATCGTCCTGGCTAACAAGGTGAAACCCCGTCTCTACTAAAAATACAAAAAATTAGCCGGGCATGGTGGCAGGTGCCTGTGGTGCCAGCTACTCGGGAGGCTGAGGCAGGAGAATGGTGTGAACCTTGGAGGCAGAGCTTGCAGTGAGCTGAGATCGTGCCACTGCACTCCAGTCTGGGCGACAGAGCAAGACTCCATCTCAAAAAAAAAACAAACCAAAAAAAAACCATGATTACTTTTTCACCAACCTAATAGAAGCATTTCCTAGTCAACAACATTCTTAATGTGCTGGTAAAGAACGATTTGGCAGTAAGACTGGCAATAACGACGAAACCTTTACTATAACTCCAGTTCTCTGAGAGTTGAGATGGCTGCCACAGCTGCAAGCATTTTGTCTGTATTCCAGGCAAGAAGCAGCAGCGTGACAGCTATATCAGGAAAACAAAACTTTCATGGAAATCATAAGCCAATGCCTTATATATATATTACATAGCCACTCCTAATTTTTGCTTGTTATTTTGTTTTGTTTTGAGTTGGGTATTTTGCAACCAGAAACAAAATCGGGGGTTCTGTTAATAAGGAAATAAGAACATTGACTATCTTGAAGATCTTTAGTCCAACTATATGTATTGGATGGATGGTGGGAGGAAGGCTGTCTGTGGAAGCAAGGACAGAGGCAGCTGTGTGTGTGTGTGTGTGTGTGTGTGTGTGTGTTTGTGTGTGTGTGTGTGTGTATGTGTTCCAGAAGCAAAAGGAAAAATGACATTTTCAAGTCTCACTGTGACTGGGATTCCAAAAAAGAAGAAGGATGCTGGAAATTAATAATGCTAAAGCGGCTGGGTGCAGTGGCTCACGCCTGTAATCCCAGCACTTTGGGAGGCCGAGGCAAGTGGATCACCAGAGGTCAGGAGTTCAAGACCTGCCTGACCAATATGGTGAAACCCCATCTCCACTAAGAATACAGAAATTAGCTGGGCATGGTGGCGGGCGCCTGTAGTCCCAGCTACTCAGGAGGCTGAGACAGGATAATTGCTTGAACCTGGGAGGCGGAAGTTGCAGTGAGGCGAGATCACACCACTGCACTCAAGCCTGGGCAATAAAGCAAGACTCCGTCTCAAAAAAAAAAAGTGCTAAAGCAATTTTTATTTGTATCCTAAGAGTTATGGGGAGTCACAGGAATGCTACAGGCAGAGTCACGCTTGAAAAATAACACTCTCCATGCAATGTCATAAAATGGCTGGAGGTACACAACGGAGTATGCAGCAGCCATTCACTAGGGTGAGTGGAGGAACAAGTTAAGGAAGAATATTATGGGTTAAGTTTTGGACGTATAAAATGTGAAAGTGTTTTTAGTTGATCCAAGTGGAGAAAACCAATTTGGATAAACAGTTCTAAAGGCCAAGAGAAAGATTTGTACTGGAGACAGAGATCTGGCAATATTCAGCATAGAGACACTCAAATTCATGAGCATAGTTGACATTGGGCAGGAATAGAATGAACAAATTCCATAAGGACAGTGAAACCAAGCCTATAGGAAGAGTGATCAAGGAGCCAAGAAACAGTAAGATCTCTCAAAGAAAAGAGGAAAATAAGTCCCTTAGAAAGCTAAAAAGATCAGATAAAGGAGGAAATGAAAATGCCAAAAAAATCAGGGTATCATGGCAGACGAAAGAAGTGGCCAAGTGTGGCAAGTAGTATTAAAGCTCGAGTTCTAATACTCTCTAACATTCTTTAGTGCTTATCATATGCCAGGCTTTGTTCTAAGCCAGGGTTCAGCAGACTTTTCCATAAAGAGCCAGCTAGCAAATATATTGGGCTTTGTGGGCATGTCATCTGTGTCACAGCTGCCCACCTCTGCCCTTAGAGTGCAGAAGAAGCCACTGGGAATGCATACAGGAGCGAGTTCTGCTGTATCCCAATAAAACTTTATTTACAAAAGCAGGCAACAGGCTGGCCAAAGTTTGCTGACCCATGAGCAGTACTTTATACTTATTTACTCAGTCATCTTCAGAACAAACATAGGAGGTAATTTTATTCCCATTTTATGGACCAGGACACTAAGGTATAGAGAGTTTGTCACCCTTCCAAGGTGACAGAGCTAGCAAGTGTTGAAGGCAGAGTTCCGATCCAAGTAGCTGGCTCCACAGCTGGTGCTCTTACTTTGTGGCAGTTTCCTATAGCCAGGAAGGTCTTCAGTGGTGTGGGTAATAGCAGCTTCAAGGCAGTGATAAGGCAGGAGGTAATGGGCTGTGGTGCAGGTGGAATGAGGAGAATCAAGCTCAGGCAACTCCACCTAAATGTTCAGCTGTGAAGTAAGAGATAGATCAAGAGGAAGGAAGGATCAAAACAAGAACTTTTAAGTCAGAAAATACAGTATGTGTTTAAATGAAAATAGAAAGAAGAGAGAAAGGACAATATAAAGAAGTTTCTGAGAAGACAGCAAGAAAGGAATTCAGAGGTCAAGTACTTACAAAATAGTAGACACACCTCCCTGAGAACAGGAGGGAGAGAGGAATAATTGTGTGAGTAAAAATAATTGTTAAGGAAATGTGAACAGAAATTTGGAAATTTTTTTTATAAAGCCTTCTACTTTTCTTGATCAATAAGGTTGTTTTCTCAGGGAGAGAAGTTTGAAAATAATGGATAAGATTTGAATTGCTTGCTTTACAGAAAAATAGTTATAATTAAAATGAAGTAATGTGTTGAGCTATTGAGTGTATAAGGTGCCAGATACCCAAAAAAGCCTTTTATAGGCATTATTTTATTTGAAACCTAGACCATCCCTGAGAGGTAGATATTCTTACATCAAGTTTAGGAAGAGACACTGAAGCTTAATTAGACAAAAAAACAAAACAAAACAAAAAAAAAAAAACTTGCTGATTAGTGAGAGATAGATCTAAGACCACAACTTTTTTTTTTTTCTAATTTCAAAGCTAGTGCTTTTACCCATTATTCTATAATGCCCTCTAGAATAGAATATAGGGAAAGGCTTGACCAGGAAATGACAGGTTGGAGATCATGAAGTTAGGACAGCCTTTTCTGCCTACTTGCATAGTCACACTAAGGTAGTACATGATAAATTACACAAAGAATGATGAAGACATCAACTGCTCTACAAGATATAAGATGTGCAAGGTCATTCCTTGTATCCAGTCAGTCACGAAATTCTATTTGTTTTTCTTCAGAATGGTTGTAATATATAAAAGAGGGAAAGTTCATTGAGATATTTCTGCTATGTTCTCTGGAGAGTTGACTCAAGAGCATGGAGGTCAAACAGTTCAGCACAGGAAAACACGGGGCGTGAAACATACCTATAGGGTAGGTACACACATATAGGGTAGGAAATACAAAAAATCATCACTTGAGGTCATCAAACTTAATGAAAAAGAAATATACTCAGGAGCATGGAGCTATAGTCAGGAAAACAAGAACCCACCACACATTCATTTAATTCATCATTTAGATAAATACTCACCCAGTAGCCCTGGTGCATGAGGTACTGCAGTGAGCCAAAGAGAGGGTATAGTGATGGCAAATTAGAGAAGCATCCTCTCTAGGAACCTACACTACTGGGGAGGAGAAAGCCTTGTACCATGTCGCTAAAACATGAGAGGAGGGGACTGATCAAGATGTCCTCTAGAAAACATATTGAATGACCACAGTGAGCCATCTACATGTTTCCACCCATTCGTTTTATACACATTCATGCACACACACACACACCCCACCCAAATGGTTGGTTCACGTCCCATGAAGATGGAAATAACTCTATCTTCTTTTATGCTCATTGTATACCCCCAGTCTGAAAACAGTTTTGTTTCTTGGAATTAGTTCCTCATTTTTGATTCCTTACAGAATTACACACCTTGATCATTGTGCATGACTCTAAATGGATTTAGCTATTTCCAAAAACTCCTGCCTTTGAAGGATGTCAATTTTCTGTGTGAGAATAATCACAAGAATGTGCTTTAGGTTTCCACAGTATTTGGCTTCACATTTTGAAAGCATCTGAGATCTTCCAAAGGAAAATTCTTTGAAAAAGATAAAACATATTCAATGTGAAGTTTTTCTATGTTTACTTCCTAACTGGTCACATAATTTTATATTATCTGGATAGTGCAGACCACAGCTTTGGTGTAAGAATGCCTTGTCACATGTCCTTCTCAACAGACTTGCACACCCTACGCATCATCACAGCAGGAAAGCATGGTTGCTGGTAGAAGATACCTGCATTTAAAAAAAAAAAAAAAAGAAGAAGAAGAAGAAAGGAGGAGGAAGGAGACATGGAGAATGGTGTGGGTCATGGAGATGGGCTGGTAGCAAGAGTCTGTCCAGCAACAGAACAGGAGGAAAAGCAGCCTACCTGGAGAATTGTCCCATTAGTGTCAGGACCCATTGACTCCAACCTTCCTTTTGAGTTTGCTGTTTTCGGCCCCAGAGTTGAAGCAGTCTTTTCAGACCATCAGTGGGTACGTGCACTTCCTCCTGGCACACGTCCAACTCCCTCCAAGGACACACACACACTCCAGTCAGAGAATCAGACAGTATTTTAATCACAACACATATTGAGTGCGGGTGTAGTTTTTGAACTACTTTCTTCATCTATTTTCTGTGGAGGAGAATAGTGGCAGAGGTTTAAACTCCAGAATTAAACAGAAGCAACCTCAAAGCCATTTGTGGAATGAAGCTGGAAATTGGAAAATGCAGAAGTAGAAAGAGTAAAATACACAGCATGTAATAAGGAAAGTAAGTGTTCCCCATGAAAATATATACACTTTCTCTCCTGTTTCTTAGTTACTGTTTGGATCTTAAATCCCACCCTTAAGAAGAAGTCAAAATGAAAAAGTTGCAATGATAACACAAAAGTCCTCTGACCAAAGGCAACTGCTTATCCCTGAGGTCTATAGAAATGAAGAGAAAGAATAAAAGATAGAAAAGTAACTCAAGTTATAATTTTATTCCTACTGTTTCCAAGGCACTGAAAAGTTTCATTAAATATCCTGGGACACGGCTGGAGAATATAATAAAGTTTCTCCAGACATTATTATTTTCTTGAACTTTACATTCTCAGTTTGTAATCTAATGAGAACACCTAACACAGATAATAATAAAACCCTGATTATTCCTATGGGAAAGAAAATGAATTTGGAGCTTAGTTTGTTTTTCTATCTTTCAGGAAATATTAGTTTTATTTATGTGTGCTGTTATAAATTCTGCAGATGAGAAAGAGTTGGCGGAAACTTGAGGATAAAAGCATTAACCATGTAGCAAAAGAAGGACACACACTGGTTAAAAGCTGTGGAAGAACTTTCATGGGAAAGAAAGAGATATAGAGATATCAAGCAGTCTCTCTTTTTCCCGTGACTGCCAAACATGGCTAATATAATTAGAATTTAATACGGCCACTTTGGAGTGCATTTTGGCAGAATCAAATATAACTGGGAAGGTGCATAACCAGAAATTCCACAATTCTGGGAGGAACATCTTAAGAAACTGAAAACAATGTCAATAACCAATAGCCTCTCAGGTATGCATGTCTTTCTATTTGGTGTTCATGGAAAATCGTGGAGGAGAAACACACTGTGCCCATAGGAACGCCATCATACACATTCAATGTTGTATGGCCTTACAATCTTGATTTTAAAGTTATATCTAAATTCTTTTCCTGGTTTGGACATTTAACTAATAGCTGTTTGTTTTTGGTAGAATTATGTTATTTTTCTGTCTTAGTTTCCTCATCTATAAAATATCAACAATAGTAATATCCATCTCAAAGGCTTATGAAAAAGATTAATTAAGAGAATATTTGTAAAGCACTTAGCAAAGTGCCTGGAACAGGGTGAATATAATTATAGTTATATAGTTATAGCAATTTTGACTGTTATGGTACAGGCTTCCTCAGACAAGCTGCTTAAACACTTTGCCTAGTCAGTTTTTTCAGTGGCATAAACTATTGTCCCTAGAGGGCAAAACCATTCCCTAACATGTAGGCTACCCTTGAGAGCAAGGCTTGGCTGCTGAGGGAAGCAGCAGTATCAACTCAGCAACAGAGAGAGACCACACTCTTAGCTGAACACTGGAAAGCTTCCACCAGGTCTATAAAACCGGAAATTGCGGTTATGTTTGGACTGAAGTCCACTGAAGTCCACTGGATACTCACAGGGAGGGTACAGTTCCTCCTCCACCACTGTACACAACTCCTGAAGGAAAAAGTCTCTAGTTAGACAATAGGAAAGTGAGAAAATAATAATGAGATTATTATTGACCATAATGATTGACCTCACCACGTGCCAGGCACTGTTTGCAGTGTTTGGATATACAGTCCCTCATTTAATCCTCGTTACAGTCACAGGAAGTAAACACTATGATTATCTCCATTTTAGAGATAGGGAAAGGAGCCTAAAGAAAAATAACTTGCTGATAGTGACAAAGTTAGTAAATGGCAGAACCAGCTTAGACACTTAGATGGACTGGCTCCTGGTTCCCATGGTTTTTACCCCCTAGCTATGGACCTAAAATTCAAGAACTCTGAGTGGAGCCTAGAGTCATGAATTCTGTGCTGGAACCCACCAATCTTATCTTCCAGAGACATGTCATAGGAAAGAATGGTTAAGCCTGGACTCTAAATGACAGAAACTAGTTATATTGAGTCTAACAAGTCTTTTGAGGTTACTCTTTTAGTATTACATATTCAGCTTCTTAGTGTGAGCATGCAAATGAATGTTATGTAGTTTAAGCTTGAGTCTTAAAACAACAACAAGAAATTTATTCTGGTAATGTTCTCTGAAAGAAAATAGTCTTTCTCCATGTCTTTATAATATTAAAAATAATTATTATTTTAGAAAGCATAGTGTATACAAGCTATACCTACAGTTTTTTTTTTTAAATAATCACTTTAAGTAGGCTCTTGCAAACCACTTAGCCAAGAAAAGGTATTAATGTTCTGATGTTATTGATAATGTGCTTATATATTCTTTGCTGATTTCTTGTGGTGCTCTGTGCCCCCCTACTGCTGCTATGGGCATGCAATTTTCATTGACTTTGTAGAGAGAATTGCAAGCAAGTCAGCTTCGTGGAAGTAGAGAGAGAAAAGGCTAGAAACAGATCCATGGCTGACAAGAGAAGAAAAATCATGCTGAAAATGGGATAAATAATAACAGTCTTATTTGGATGAGTCTGCCACAAAATAGGAAGCCAAACAATCTTAAGATGGGTCAAGGCTGCTCCATCACAGAGAGTGGCATGTAACATTATCTGATGAAGGGAATGGATTTCTTTCTTTTCATCCATGCCTGCTAAGTTATGCAGGATTAAAGGGTCTGGTAGCATAGTGAAGTTACTAAGATGGAAGCTGAATAGCACCAGGAAGAAGAGACTACACAATTCCAGAGTTTAGGATGTGGATTAGTCGGCCAAAGGTAACCGGCTTCCCAGTTATATATGCTTACAAGGGAAATAATGGGTTTCCATCAGTCACTACATGTAACTCTGACAATATATGTTTTAAAGTCTTTTTTTAAAAAAGGAAACAAGATTATTTGTGAAGATGAAAAGATTACAAAATCAGTTTTAATAATGTGACATGAAACAAAGCATCAAATAAATAGATGTGCAGGTTCCTAAGCCATCTTTCTGATTGGTTTTGCTTGTTTCTTTGTTTGTTTGTTTGTTTCAGGTCTGTGTGAAGAAAAGCCTATTGCTTTGCCATTCAGTAGTGAGGAGGATGGAGCTCTGGTAGCTGCAGCTCAGATTGGGATGGGGTCGGGGATTATTTAAAGCCAATAAGAAACTGAGCTTGCACAAGGCCAAATAATACTATTTCAATCAAATATAGAGTGAGGAGAATTAGTGGTCCATATCCTTTACTCCTAAGGTATTGGTGATTTTTTAATTGATTTACCAGAATGTTAGCCTTTCTTTATATTTGCCATGATTATGGCCCAATTTTTAGTTTGTAACCTACATTTGCTTATGAAAGTTTTTGGTATATAGAAATGCTTAATTTTTAATGAAATAGAATAATAATTCTGTTTATGTTTTCTGTTACCACTTTTCTGCTTAGAAACTCCTTGCTCATTCTAAAATTACTTAAATAATTATAAATTTTCTTTGCCAGTTTCAGTGCTTGTGAAATTGGCTATGGTGCTTTTACTTTTTACACATGATTCTTTAATTTACCTGAAATTCTATCTTCAATTATGCTTGTTTAAACCTAAGATATTTAGATCCCATTTAAAATATATATTTGTTGAATTCAGTTATGAAGGGTGTTGATCCAGCTTTAACCACCTTCAATCCAGGCAGTGTGCTGCTTTTAGTTTTATGTTTAACACAATCTGCATCTGTAAGTATTTTTCCTGAGAGAGTCTTTAACCTTTTCAGACATTCTCTAAGAAAACCAGTCTATTTTAAACCCCAGAGAAATATCACAGAGCATTTAAAGATGATGCTTATAATGTGATATGTTATCACCGATATTTTTTACCTGGTAGCTGTAGTTTAAAAAAATGTAGCTGCTAAATGTTGATTAGAGCTTTTTTTAATTTTATTATTATTATACTTTCAGTTTTAGGGTACATGTGCACAATGTGCAGGTTTGTTACATATGTATACATGTGCCATGTTGGTGTGCTGTACCCATTAACTCGTCATTTAGCATTAGGTATATCTCCAGTGCTAACCCTCCCCCCTCCCCCCACCCCACAATAGTCCCCGGAGTGTGATGTTCCCCTTCCTGTGTCCATGTGTTCTCATTGTTCAATTCCCACCTATGAGTGAGAACATGAGGTGTTTGGTTTTTTGCCCATGCAATAGTTTGCTGAGAATGATGGTTTCCAGTTTCATCCATGTCCCTACAAAGGACATGAACTCTTCATTTTTTATGGCTGCATAGTATTCCATGGTGTATATGTGCCACATTTTCTTAATCCAGTCTATCGTTGTTGGACATTTGGGTTGGTTCCAAGTCTTTGCTATTGTGAATAGTGCCGCAATAAACATACGTGTGAATGTGTCTTTATAGCAGCATGATTTATAATTCTTTGGGTATATACCCAGTAATGGGATGGCTGGGTCAAATGGTATTTCTAGTTCTAGATCCCTGAGGAATTGCCACACTGACTTCCACAATGGTTGAACTAGTTGACAGTCCCACCAACAGTGTAAAAGTGTTCCTATTTCTCCACATCCTCTCCAGCACCTGTTGTTTCCTGACTTTTTAATGATTGCCATTCTAGATGGTGTGAGATGGTATCTCATTGTGGTTTTGATTTGCATTTCTCTGATGGTCAGTGATGGCGAGCATTTTTTCATGTGTCTTTTGGCTGCATAAATGTCTTCTTTTGAGAAGTGTCTGTTCATATCCTTCACCCAATTTTTGATGGGGTTGTTTGTTTTTTTCTTGTAAATTTGTTTGAGTTCATTGTAGATCCTGGATATTAGCCCTTTGTCAGATGAGTAGGTTGCAAAAATTTTCTCCCATTTTGTAGGTTGCCTGTTCACTCTGATGATAGTTTCTTTGGCTGTGCAGAAGCTCTTTAGTTTAATTAGATCCCATTTGTCAATTTTGGCTTTTGTTGCCATTGCTTTTGGTGTTTTAGACATGAAGTCCTTGCCCATGCCTATGTCCTGAATGGTAATACCTAGGTTTTCTTCTAGGGTTTTTATGGTTTTAGGTCTAATATTTAAGTCTTTAATCCATCTTGAATTAATTTTTGTATAAGGTGTAAGGAAGGGATCCAGTTTCAGCTTTCTACATATGGCCAGCCAGTTTCCCCAGCACCATTTATTAAATAGGGAATCCTTTCCCCATAGCTTGTTTTTGTCAGGTTTGTCAAAGATCAGATAGCTGTAGATATATGGCATTATTTCTGAGGGCTCTGTTCTGTTCCATTGATCTATATCTCTGTTTTGGTACCAGTACCATGCTGTTTTGGTTAGTGTAGACTTGTATAGTTTGAAGTCAGGTAGCGTGATGCCTCCAGCTTTGTTCTTTTAGCTTAGGATTGACTTGGCAATGAGGGCTCTTTTTTGGTTCCATATGAACTTTAAAGTAGTTTTTTCCAATTCTGTGAAGAAAGTCATTGGTAGCTTGATGGGGATGGCATTGAATCTATAAATTACCTTGGGCATTATGGCCATTTTCACGATATTGATTCTTCCTACCCAAGAGCATGGAATGTTCTTCCATTTGTTTGTATCCTCTTTTATTTCATTGAGCAGTGGGTTGTAGTTCTCTTTGAAGAGGTCCTTCACATCCCTTGTAAGTTGGATTCCTAGGTATTTTATTCTGTTTGAAGCAATTGTGAATGGGAGTTCACTCATGATTTGGCTCTCTGTTTGTCTGTTATTGGTGTATAAGAATGCTTGTGATTTTTGCACATTGATTTTGTATCCTGAGACTTTGCTGAAGTTGCCTATCAGCTTAAGGAGGTTTTGGGCTGAGATGATGGGGTTTTCTAGATATACAATCATCTCATCTGCAAACAGGGACAATTTGACTTCCTCTTTTCCTAACTGAATACCCTTTATTTCCTTCTCCTGCCTGATTCCCCTGGCCAGAAATTCCAACACTACGTTGAATAGGAGTGGTGAGAGAGGGCATCCTTGCCTTGTGCCAGTTTTCAAAGGGAATGCTTCCAGTTTTTGCCCATTCAGTATGATATTGGCTGTGGGTTTGTCATAGATAGCTCTTATTATTTTGAGATACGTCCCATCAATACCTAACTTATTGAGAGTTTTTAGCATGAAGCGTTGTTGAATTTTGTCAAAGACCTTTTCTGCATCTATTGAGATAACATGTGGTTTTTGTCATTGATTCTGTTTATATGCTGGTTTATGTTTATTGATTTGCATAAGTTGAACCAGCCTTGCATCCCAGGGATGAAGCCCACTTGATCATGGTGGATAAGCTTTTTGATGTGCTGCTGGATTCGGTTTGCCAGTATGTTATTGAGGATTTTTGCATTGATGTTCATCAGGGATATTGGTCTAAAATTCTCTTTTTTTGTTGTGTCTCTGCCAGGCTTTGGTATCAGGATGATGCTGGCCTCATAAAATGAGTTAGGAAAGATTCCCTCTTTTTCTATTGATTGGAATAGTTTCAGAAGGAATGGTACCAGCTCCTCCTTGTACCTCTGGTAGAATTTGACTGTGAATCCGTATGGTCTGGACTTTTTTTTGGTTGGTAGGCTATTAATTATTGCCTCAATTTCAGAACCTGTTATTGGTTTATTCAGGGATTCAAGTTCTTCCTGGTTTAGTCTTGGGAGGGTGTATGTGTTGAGGAATTTATCCATTTCTTCTAGATTTTCTAGTTTATTTGCATAGAGGTGTTTATAGTATGCTCTGATGGTAATTTGTATTTCTGCGGGATTGGTGGTGATATCCCCTTTATCATTTTTTATTACATCTATTTGATTCTTCTCTCTTTTCTTCTTTATTAGTCTTGCTAGCAGTCTATCAATTTTGTTGATCTTTTCAAAAAACCAGCTCCTGGACTCATTGATTTTTTGAAGTGTTTTTTGTGTCTTTATCTCCTTCGGTTCTTCTCTGATCATAGTTATTTATTGCCTTCTGCTAGCTTTTGAATGTGTTTACTCTTGCTTCTCTGGTTCTTTTAATTGTGATGTTACGGTGTCAATTTTAGATCTTTCCTGCTTTCTCTTGTGGGCATTTAGTGCTATAAATTTCCCTCTACACACACTTTAAATGTGTCCCAGAGATTCTGGTATGTTGTGTCTTTGTTCTCATTGGTTTCAAAGAACACCTTTATTTCTGCCTTCATTTTGTTATGTACCCAGTAGTCATTCAGGAGCAGGTTGTTCAGTTTCCATGTAGTGAGCGGTTTTGAGTGAGTTTCTTAATCCTGAGTTCTAGTTTGATTGCACTGTGGTCTGAGAGAGAGTTTGTTATAATTTCTGTTATTTTACATTTGCTGAGGAGTGCTTTACTTCCAACTATGTGGTCAGTTTTGGAATAAGTGCGATGTGGTGCTGAGAAGAATGTATATTCTGTTGATTTGGGGTGGAGAGTTCTCTAGATGTCTATTAGGTCCACTTGTTTTAGTGCTGTGTTCAATTCCTGGGTATCCTTGTTAACTTTCTGTCTAGTTGATCTGTCTAATGTTGACAGTGGGGTGTTAAAGTCTCCCATTATTATTGTGTGGGAGTCTAAGTCTCTTTGTAGGTCTCTAAGGACTTGCTTTATGAATCTGGGTGCTCCTGTATTGGGTGCATATATATTTAGAATAGTTAGCCCTTCTTGTTGAGTTGATCCCTTTACCATTATGTAATGGCCTTCTTTGTCTCTTTTGATCTTTGTTGGTTTAAAGTCTGTTTTATCAGAGACTAGGATTGCAACCCCTACCTTTTTTTGTTTTCCATTTGCTTGGTAGATCTTCCTCCATCTCTTTATTTTGATCCTATGTGTGTCTTTGCACGTGAGATGGGTCTCCTGAATACAGCACACTGATGGGTCTTGACTCTTTATCCAATTTGCCAGTCTGTGTCTTTTAATTGGAGAATTTAGCCCATTTACATTTAAGGTTAATATTGTTATGTGTGAATTTGATCCTGTCATTATGATGTTAGCTGATCATTTTGCCCGTTAGTTGATGCAGTTTCTTCCTAGCATCGATGGTCTTTACAGTTTGTCATGTTTTTGCAGTGGCTGGTACTGGTTGTTCCTTTCCATGTTTAGTGCTTCCTTCAGGAGCTCTTGTAAGGGAGGCCTGGTGGTGACAAAATCTCTCAGCACTTGCTTGTCTGTAAAGTATTTTATTTCTCCTTCACTTATGAAGCTTAGTTTGGCTGGATATGAAATTCTGGGTTGAAAATTCTTTTCTTTAAGAATGTTGAATATTGGCCCCCACTCTCTTCTGGCTTGTAGAGTTTCTGCTGAGAGATCAGCTGTTAGTCTGATGGGTTTCCCTTTGTGGGTAACCTGACCTTTCTCTCTGGCTGCCCTTAACATTTTTCCCCTCATTTCAACTTTGAGAATCTGACAATTATGTTTCTTGGAGTTGCTCTTCTTGAGGAGTATCTTTGTGGTGTTCTCTGTATTTCCTGAATTTGAAGATTGGCCTGCCTTACTAGGTTGGGGAATTTCTCCTGGATAATATCCTGAAGAGTGTTTTCCAACTTGGTTCCATTCTCCCTGTCACTTTCAGGTACGCCAATCAGACGTAGATTTGGTCTTTTCACGTAATCCCATATTCCTTGGAGGCTTTGTTTGTTTCTTTTTACTCTTTTTTCTCTAAACTTCTCTTCTTGCTTCATTTCATTCATTTGATCTTCAATCACTGATACCCTTTCTTCCAGTTGACCAAATTGGCTACTGAAGCTTGTGCATTCATCACGTAGTTCTTGTGCCAGGGTTTTCAGCTCCATCAGGTCATTTAAGGATTTCTCTACACTGGGTATTCTAGTTAGCTATTCGTCTAATCTTTTTTCAAAGTTTTTAACTTCTTTGCGTTAGGTTCAAACTTCCTCCTTTAGCTCGGAGAAGTTTGATCGTCTGAACCCTTCTTCTCTCAACTCATCAAAGTCATTTTCCATCCAGCTTTGTTCCATTGCTGGAGAGGAGCTGCATTGCTTTGGAGGGGGAGAGGTGTTCTGATTTTTAGAGTTTTCAGCTTTTCTGCTCTGTTTTTTCCCCATCTTTGTGGTTTTGTCTACTTTTGGTCTTTGATGATGGTGACATACAGGTGGGGTTTTGGTGTGGATGTCCTTTCTGTTTGTTAGTTTTCCTCCTAACAGTCAGAACAGTCAGCTGCAAGTGTGTTGGAATTTGCTGGAGGTCCACTCCAGACCCTGTTTGCCTGGGTATCAGCCATGGAGACTGCAGAACAGCGAATATTGCTGAACAGCAAATGTTGCTGATTGTTCCTCTGGGAGCTTCATCTCAGAGGGGTACTAACTAGGCCATGTGAGGTGTCAGTCTGCCCCTACCAGAGGGTGCCTCCCAGTTAGGCTACACAGAGGTCAGGGACTCACTTGAGGAGGCAGTCTGTCCGTTCTCAGATCTCAAACTCCATGCTGGGAGAACCATTACTCTCTTCAAAGCTGTTAGACAGGGACATTTAAGTCTGCAGAGGTTTCTGCTGCCTTTTGTTTGGCTATGCCCTGTCCCCTGAGGTGGAATCTACAGAAGCAGGCAGGCCTCCTTGAGCTGCAGTGGGCTCCACCCAGTTTGAGCTTCCTGGCTGCTTTACCTACTCAAGCCTCAGCAATGGTGGGCACCCCTCCCCCAGCCTCACTGCCGCCTTGCAGTTCGATCTCAGATTGCTGTGCTAGCAATAAGTGAGGCTCCATGGGCGTGGGACCCTCTGAGCCAGGTGCAGGATATAATCTCCAGGTTTGCCATTTGCTAAGACCATTGGAAAAGCACAGTATTAGGGTGGGAGTGACCCCATTTTCCCGGTGCCATCTGTCACCCCTTCCCTTGGCTAGGAAAGGGAATTCCCTGACCCCTTTCACTTCCTGGGTAAGGCGATGCCTCGCCCTGCTTTGGCTCTCACTCAGTGGACTGCACCCACTGTCCTGCCCCCACTGTCCAATGAGCCCCAGTGAGATGAACCCAGTACCTCAATTGGAAATGCAGAAATCAGCCATCTTCTGCATCACTCACGCTGGGAGCTGTAGACTGGAGCTGTTCCTATTCAGCCATGTTGGAACTGCCCAGTTCTTTACACTAGTGTGAAAACAGACTAATACAGCTGTTCATATTTTGTTGAAACTAAAGGACAAAAATGGACAATCTCTGCTTGTCTTTGGGTCTTTGTTCTGAAGGATCCTGTGTATACACATTAAATATGTTTGTATGCCTTATCTTCCACTCATCTGCCTTTAGTGAGTTGGTTTTTCAGGGAGACTTCATAGGCTTGGCCCTTACACTACTATAGATTTACCTATTCTCAATTAGTGATTTAGCTGCCATAATCTTCTATTATTGTTTTAAGCAAAGGAAACTTTGGTGACTATTACTATAATACTAGGAGTAATTTTTACATGTCAGTCTCTGTACTAGAAGATTCTTTCCTACCTCTTGTTGTTTATTGGAAAATAGATCTGCAGTCTCTTTTATAAAATATTTCCATTACAATGTTTATTGCTCCTGAATGTGAAAACTCACTGTATTTGTCTTTTCATTTTATTTAAAACATGTGACTAGTATGTGGATGAGTTTGTAAATCTGTGGTATCGTTACCTGTGCTTCAGTTCTGTAAGGGTGCCCATCCTGGAATTAAGCTATTTTAAAAGGCTCTTTGAAGACAGCCACTTTGTGAAAAAGATTAGATTATGTGACACAGGCTATGGCAGATGACGTGACAATAGCCTGGATCATTGGCAAGAAGTTCCAAGATAGAATTGTCCTCACATAAAACAGCTGTTGAAGTTACTCAGTTGTCTTCCTCATCATCCATGCTCAAAGGCACACTTGCTGAGAAAATTATCACTAACTGTTAGGAGAAAGAAAACAGAATTTACTTCACATTCCTCTAGTAGACTTTGCCCACCTGCCCCACCCCCCAACCCCAGAAAGAGACTCAATGGTACCCAGAAGGATTTCACAGATACAGGGAAATGTACAAAGGCATTGGAATATTTAGGCAAAAAAAGAATGGTCTTCCCATGTGAGTGGGCTGTGGTTATGATTTGGAGGGCCCCCAGATGAAGATGCAGATGTGGATTTAAAAAGGACTCTACAGATACGTTGGCTAGAATGCAGTGGTCTGGGAGAGCCTCAGATGGCTTCAACCTGTAATGCTCTTCGATTAAGTGCTGCTTATTTTTCTTCAAGATTTTTTTTTAAAAGGAGACTTCATTTTTTAGAATTTTAAAAATTACTGTATACTCAGCTCCCCCCATGATACAGGACTTTCAAAAAAGATATATGGGCAAATGTGCTGATCATCTGGGAGGCCTCTACAACTTCTAGGAAGGTGTTGGAAAGGGTCATTTAATGGAGCTCATTTATATACGTGTGTGTGTGTGTGTGTTTGTGTGTGTGTGAGAGAATATTTATTGAGCTATAGTCCAGAATATGAGCTCAATTAAAAGTATATTTATGTATATTTATATATATACATATATACACATATATATTTACATATAGCACACACTATATATGTGTGTGTGTATATATGTATATATTCTGAGCCCACTAAACTTAACTCGCTAAAGAGAACAGTTTTCCTATTTATTTTCTTTGAATAGTTGAGATCTGAAAGATAAATATGTCAACATCATAAAAAGTCGGAGTCACCCTTCACCTGTTAGTGAAGTTAAGAAAATTAGCCATTGAGTACAGAAAATAAAATGATTTTCAACAACCTGCAGTAGAGACAAACCCAGGTTTGTCTGCCAAATGTCCCAGAAAAGCAAAGTAGCTTGAAAGGATGGGTTGTCATCAATTAAGGATAAGCATCTTGCTTTATTCACTTGGAAAGTTCCAGGGAGTTTTCTGGGTCAATGAAAACAAGTAAAGATTGGTTTACCAACTAGCTCTTTAAGATCCAAGGTGATTTGAGGGCTTGTGTTGAAGTGAACTTTAATGTGCTCTGTAATAAAAAGTGCATAAAACATTTGTTTCCAATCAGCTTTCAAAAGTCATTACTCATCTGAGTAGAGACAAGTAAGGGTAGGGCCTTTTGTGATGCTGGCTGCATGCATGAGAATATATATGGGGAGAAGCCATTCATGAGAAGTGCAAAACTGAAGGGATGGCAAGAAGCTTGTTACAGATGGGTAACACAACGGAAATGGGAAATCGAAAGACACACCTAAGAAGGAAATCCTCTCCTAAGGGGTGGGGTGGGGAGAGTGGTGGGACTGAGCCTGAAGCTGTAGGTTAACATAGGCTGGCTTTCAGGCCCACAGGCTTTAGTTAGTAAGTGCTGGCTCTATGACTTACCGCTTAATGGCTATGTCACCTTAGGAAAGTTATTTAGCCTCTCCAGGACTTAGTTTACCCATCTATAAAATCAAAATAGTATTTATTTCATAAATTTCTTTCAAGGACTAATTGCAATAATACATATAAAGCATTTGGCATAATTCCTGCAACATAGGAAATGACTTCAACTGAAGCTAGTTGTTAAATATTTTCTAATTAGTAGAGGAGGCTAACATCTGACATGTCACGGTTATCAACCTTGATTTCCTAACTCTAAAACTTTCCTCATGTTGTTCCCTGTATCTTGAGAATTTAATGAAATATTATACGCAAAATACAGTCAGCCCAGTAGCTGGAACATAGAAGGGATTTGACAATCATTAAGTGATATTATCATCCTTCCTCATCTAAGTAAGGAACTGAGATGCAGTTCTTGTGTTGGTGCCTTAGCAAAAATAAAATAAAATAAAACCTTCTGTTTAAAAACCAAGCTGTAGAAAAGATCCTCCAAAAAAAAAATATCTTCAACTGAGTCAACTGAAACCTAAAGGGTGAGTAGAAATTAGCCAGGAGAAGACAGGAGGAAGTGCTAATGTCCAATGTCAAGGTGCACAAGTAAAGTGCCCTAGAATTTAAGAGAGTTGTACAACATAAGACAAATGAAGAAGAGATGAAGTATGAGCTGGAGGCAAAATTATGAGAGTCTAGCACCCCAAATGCAATCCATGGGCCATTGTTGTCTGCTCTACCTTCAAAAGGGGTCTAGAACCTAAACAATTCGCCTACATCTACGATATCCCTGGTCCAACCCAATCTCACCTCCATCTTGGATTTTTTTTCATATCATCTATCCCGGAATTCCTACTTCCACCATTCCCTGCTGCAGAAGCCAGAGGGATTGTTCTAAAATCCAAGTCAGGTCATTTCACTCCTCCTCTCAGTGGAGCAGCGATTCACTAACTTTCCATTGTATGAATAAAAAAGACAATGTTCTATCTTTTTTTTCACTTAAGCTTTTTATTTTGAAATCATTGTAAATCCACATGAATTGTAAGAAATAATATAGAGAGATCCCCTGTATGCTTTACCAGGTTTCTTCCCCTGATAACATTACAAAACTATGGTATAGTAACACAGTCAGGATATTGATATTGACACAGTGCCTTTCCAAAGCCGCAAGAATCGTGTGTTGCTCTTTTACAGCCACATCCAGCTGTCTTCCCCAGCTCCCCGTTCTCTAATCCTGTCAATCACAAATCTCTCTTCTATTTTTATAATTTTGTCATTTCAAGAATGACATATAAATGGAATCATGCAGTATGTAACCATGTGGGATTTTTTTCCTCATTTAGTATAATTCCCTGGAGATGCATCCAAAATGTTATGTGTATCAGTAGTTCATTCATATTTTTATTGGTATTGATGTACCACAGTTTATTTCCAATTCACCCCCTGAAGGACATCTGGGTTGTTTCCAGTTTGGGCCTATTATAAATAAAGCTTCTATGAATATCTATGTACAGATTTTCTGTGAATATAAGCTTTCATGTCTCTAGAATACACAAGAGTGCAATTTCTGGATGGTATGGTAGTTACATGTTTGCTTTTAGATGAAATTTTCCAAATTGTTTTCCAGAGTGGCTAGGCCATTTTATACTGCCACTAGCAGGGTGGGTGTGGCCCAATTTCTTTTCGTCCTCACAAACACTTGTTGTTGTCAATACTTATTTTTACATTTTGGCCAGTTTGAACTGTGTGTAGTGTTATCTCATTGTAGTTTTTAATTTGCATTTCCCTAATGGCTAAAACATCTTGTTATGTGTTTCTTGGTCATCTATATTTCCTCTTCTATAAAATGTCTTTTCATATTATATTTTGTCTATTATCTATTTGGATTGTTCATCTTTTTAATTGTTGAATTTTGAAAGTACTTTATATATTCTAGATACCAGTTCTTTTTTCAATTTAACATGTGCAGATTTGTGATACAGTTAAACTACTGTCATGGGGTTTGTTGTACAGATTATTTCATTACCCAGGTATTAAGCCCAGTATCCATTAGTTATTTTTTCTGATCCTCTCCTTCCTCTTATACTCCACCCTCTGATAGGCCCCAGTGTCTGTTGTTCCCCCCACGTATCCATGTGTTCTCATCATTTAGCTCCCACATATTAGTGAGAACATGCAATATTTGACTTTCTGTTCCTGTGTTAGTTTGCTTAGGGTAATGGCCTCTAGCTCCATCCATGTTCTTCCAAAGGACATGATTTCATTCTATTTTGTGGCTGCATAGTAATTCATGGTGTATATGTACCACATTTTATTTAACCGGTCTACCACTGATGGGTTTTTTAGGTTGATTCCATGTCTTTGCTATTGTGAATAGTGCTGCAATGAACATATTAGTACATGTATCTTTATGTTAGAATGATTTATATTCCTTTGGGTAAATACCCAGTAATGAGATTGCTGGCTTGAATGGTATTTTTGTTTTCAGGTCTTTGAGGAATGGCCACATTGCTTTCCACAATTGTTTAATTCACATTCCCACCAAGTGTGTAAGCATTCCTTTTTCTCTGTAACTTTGCCCATATCTGTTTGTTTGTTTTTGACTTTAGTAATAGCCATTCTGACTGATGTGAGATGGTATCTCACTGTGGTTTGGATTTGCATTTCTCTAATAATCAGTGATGTTGAGCTTTAATTTGTATGCTTGTTGGCTGCATGTATGTCTTTTGAAAAGTGTCTGTTCATGTCCTTTGCCCATTTTTAAATTTTTTTCTTGTAAATTCGTTTAAGTTCCTTATAGATGCTGGATATTAGACCTTTGTCAGAGGCATAGTTTGCAAAACTTTTCTCCCATTCTGTTGCTTGTCTGTTTACTCTGTTAATAGTTTCTTTTGCTGTGCAGGAGCTTTTTAGTTTACTTAGGTCCTATCTGTCAATTTTTGTTTTTGTTCAAATTGCTTTTGGTGTCTTTGTCATGAAATTTTTGCCCAGTCCTATGTTCAGAATGCTATTGCCTAATTGCCTTCCAGGGTTTTTATAGTTTTGGGATTTACATTTAAGTCTTTAGTCCATCTTGAGTTAATTTTTGTATATGGTGTAAGGAAGGGGTCCAGTTTCAATCTTCTGCATATGGCTAGCCAGTTAACCCAGCACCATTTATTGGATAGGGAATCCTTTCCCCATTGCTTGTTTTTGTGGAGCTTGTCAAATATCAGATAGCTGTAGGTGTGCAGCCTTATTTCTGGGCTCGTTATTCATTTCCACTGCTCTATGTGTCTGTTTTTGTATCAGTACTATGCTGTCACTATAGCCTTGTAGTATAGTTTGAAGTCGGGTAGCATGATGCTCCAGCTTTGTTCTTTTTGCTTTGGTTTGCCTTGGCTATTGGGGCTCTTTTTTGTTCCATTTGAATTTTAAAATAGTTTTTTCTACCTCTGTGAAGAATGTCATTGGTAGTTTAATACTAATAGCATTGACTGTAAATTGCTTTGGGCAGCATGGCCTTTTTAATGATATTGATTCTTCCTATATGTGAACATTGAATATTTTCCCATTTGTTTGTGTCGTCTCTGATTTCTTTGAGCAGTGGTTTGCAGTTCTCCTTACAGAAAACTTTCACCTCACTAGTTAGCTGTATTCCTAGGTAATTTATTCTTTTTGTGGCAATTGTAAATGGGATTGCGTTCCTAATTAGGCTTTCAGTTGTTGGTATAGTTACTAGGAATGCTAGATTTTTTATATTGATTTTGCATCCTGAGACTTCACTGAAGTTATTAGCTTAAGGAGCTTTTGGGTCAAGACTGTGAGATATTCTAAATACAGCATCTTGTTTTCTGTAAACAGGGATAGTTTGACTTCTTCTCTTCCTACTTGGATGTCCATTATTTCTTCCTCTTGCCTGTTTGCTCTGGCTAGGACTTTCAATACTATGTTAAACAGGAATGCTGAGAGAGGTTATTGCTGTCTTGTGCTGATTTTCAGGGGGAATGCTTCCAACTTTGTGCCCATTCAGTATGATGTTCACTACGGTTTGTCATCAATGGATAGGTGGGTCTCATTATTTGGAAATGTGTTCCTTTTAATACCTAGTTTATTGAGAGTTTTTAACATGAAGGGTTGTTGAATTTTATCAAAATCCTTTTCTGCATCTATTGAGATAATCATGGGTTTTCTGTCTTCAGTTCTGTTTATGAGATGAATCACATTTATTGATTTGCTTATGTTGAACCAACCTTGCATCCCCGGAGCCTATTTGATTGTGGTGGATAAGTTTTTTGATGTGTTGGGGATTTATTTACCAGTATTTTGTTGAGGATTTTTGCATTGGTGTTCATAAACTTGGCCTAAAGTTTTCTTTTGTTTTTATGTCTCTGCCAGGTTTTGGTATCACAATGATGCTGGCATCATAGGATGAGTTATGGAGGAGTCTCTCCTCCTCAATATTTTGGAATAGTTTCAACAGGAATGGTACCAGCTCTTCTTTGTATACCTGGTAGAATTCAGCTGTAAATCCATCTGGTCCTGGGCTTTCTTTAGTTGGTAAGCTATTTCTTATTGATTCAATTTCAGAGCCCATTATTTTTCTGTTCAGGAATTCAACATCTTCCTGGCTCAGTCTTGAGAGGGTGTATGTAACAAGGAATTTATCTGTTTCTTATAGATTTTCTAGTTTATGTGCATAGAGGTCTTCATAGTATTCTCTGATGTTTATTTGTATTTCTGGGGTCAGTGGTAATATCTCCTTTGTCATTTCTAATTATGTTTATGTGGGTCTTCTCTCCTTTCTCCTTTATTCGTCTAGCTAGTGGTTTGTTTGATTAATTTTTTCATAAAACCAGCTCCTGGATTTGTTGATCTTTTAAATTGTTTTTTTCATATCTTAATCTCCTTCAGTTCAGCTCCGATTTTGTTTATTTCTTGTCTTCTGCTACCTTTGGGGTGGTTTTTTCTTGGTTCTTTAGTTCTTTTAGTTGTGAGTTAGATTGTTAAATTGAGATCTTTTTCACTTTTTGATGTGGACATTTGGTGCTATAAATTTCCCTCTTGATATTTCCTTAGCTGTGTCCCAGAGATTCTGGTATATTGTATCTTTCTTCTCATTAGTTTCTAAGAACTTCTCGATTTCTGCCTTAATTTCATTATTTAATGAAAAGTCATTCAGGAGCAGGTTATTGAATTTCCATGTAATTGTAAATTTAATTGTGCTGTGATCTGAGATATTGGTTGTTATAGTTTCAGTTCTTTTGCATTTGCTAAGGAGAGTCTTATGTCCAATTATGTGATCAATTTTAAAATTTGTGCCATTTAGCAATGAACAAAAAATTGTACTCTGTTGTTTTGGGGTGGAGAGTTCTGTAGATATCTATCAGGTCCATTTGATCCAGTGCTGAGTTTCAGTCCTGAATAACTTAGTTGATTTTCTTGATGATCTGTCTAATACATTCAGTAGGGTGTTGAAGTCTCCTGCTAGTATTATGTGCAAGTCTAAGTCTCTTTGAAGGTCTCTAAGAACTTGTTTTATGAATCTAGGTGCTCCTGTGTTGGGTGCGTATATATTTAGAATAGTTAGGTCTTCTTGTGGAATTGAACCTTTTACCATTGTATAATGCCTTTCTTTGTCTTTTTTGAACTTTGTTGGCTTAAAGTCTGTTTTGTATAAAATTATGATTGCAACCCCTTCTTCATTCTGTTTTATATTTGCTTGGTAGATTTGTCTCCATTTCTTTACTTTGAGCCTATGGGTGTCATTACATGGGAGCTGGGTCTCCTGAAGACAGCGTATCAATGGCTCTTGGTTCTTTATCCAGCTTACCACTCTGTGCCTTTTAATTAGAGCATTTAGTCCATTTACATTCAAGGTGAGTATCGATATGTGTGGATTTGACCTTGTCATAATGATGTTAGCTGGTTACTAGGCAGAATTGTTTATGTGGTTTATTTATTTATTTATTTATTTCATTTATTTTTGAGATAGGCTTTTGCTCTGTCACCCAGGCTTCAGTACAGTGGCATGATCTTGGCTCACTGCAACCTCCACTCCCAGGTTCAAGTGATCCTCCTACCTCAGCCTCCCAAGGAACTGAGACCACAGCTGTGCACCACTATGCCTGGCTAATTCTTTGTGTTTTTAGTAGAGATGGGGTCTCACTATGTTGCCCAGGCTGGTCTTGAACTCCTGAGCTCAAGAGATTCACTCACCTCAGCCTCCCAAATTACTGGGATTACAGGCATGAGCCACCATGCCTGGCCTGTGTGGTTCCTTTACAGGGTCACTCATCTTTGTACTTAAGGGTGTTTTTTGTAGTGGCTAGTAATGGTCTTTCTTTTCCACATTTAGTGCTTCCTTCAGGAGCTCTTGTAAGGCAAGTCTGGTGCTAACAAATTCTCAGCATTTGCTTGCCTGAAAATGATCTTATTTTTCTGTTCCTTGTAAAGCTTAGTTTTGCTAACTATAAAATTCTGGGTAGGAATTTTTTTTTCTTTAAGAATGACAAATATTAGCCCCAATTTCTTCTGGCTTGTAATGTATCTCCTGAGGCATCTGCTATTGTACTGTTGGGCTTCACTCCGTAGGTGACCTGACCTTTCTCTCTAGTGGCTTTTAACATTTTTCCTTTCATTTTGACCTTGGAGAATCTGATGATTATGTGTCTTGGGGATTATCTTCTTTTGAAGTATCTGACTGAGGTTTTCTACATCATCTGAATTTGAATGTTGGCCTCTCTGTCTAGGTTGGGGAAGTTCTCATGGATGATACATTGAAATAGGTTTCCCAAGTTGCCTACATGCTCCCCATCTCTTTCAGGAACACCAATGAGTCATAGATTCAGTCTCTTTACACAATCTCATATTTCTCAGAGGTTCTGTTCATTCCTTTTCACTCTTTTTTCTCTATTCTTCTCTGACTATCTAATTTCAGAAAACCAGTTTTCAAGCTCTGAGATTCTTCCTTCTGCTTTGTCTATTCTGCTATTAATACTTGTGATTACATTTTGAAATTGTTGTAGTGTGTTTTTCAGCTCTGTCAGTTACATGCTTTTCTATAATGGCCATTTTGTCTGTCAGCTCCTGTATCATTTTATTGTGATTCTTAGCTTCCTTGGATTGGCTTTCAACATACTCCTGCATCTCAATGATCTTCATTCCTATCTATATTCTGAACTCTATTTCTGTCATTTCAGCCATCTCAGCCTGGTTCAGAACCCTTGCTGGAGAGGTGGTGTGGTCTTTTGCAGGAAAGAAGGCACTCTGGCTTTTTAAGTTCTCAGGGCTCTTGTACTCGTTCTTTCTCCTCTTTGTTGGCTTATGTTCCTTCAATCTTTGCAGTTGCTGACTTTCAGATGGGCTTTGTTTTCTTTTATCCTATTTGATGGCCTTGAGGGTTTGATTGTGGTATGAGGGTGACTTAGTTGACTGGCTTTGTTTCTGGAAGATTTTGGGGGGCTAACACTCAGCTCCCTACTCTTAGACTGTGTGCTTTAACCCTGGGGGACTCCTAATGGACCCTGACTTTGTTCTCTGGCTCCGTGCACTTAGGAACCCACTGCCCTGGGGTGGCCCAAGGTGCTCCCAGACCATTATTCATTAAACTCTGATGGACGATGTCACCCAAAGCATTTTGTAATGTGATGACCCCAGGATCTGTCTTCATTTGCAAATGTCAGCAGCAGTGGCTGTGGCAGCACAGTAGGGTGCATGCTTCTTGGCTGCGGCAGGGTGCTAGCTGGTGCTAGGGTGCCTGCCTCCATGAAGGTGTTCACAACAGGGGTGGAGGAAATGTGGCTTGGCAGAGGGAGCTGCTGGTGACTGTGCACATAGTTGCACTGGTGGTGATGTTGGCATGAGGGGTAGGGGGTCCTGGCAGGCACAGGTCGTTGTGCATATTCTGTGCATTGCAGGCTGGGGTGGGTGCTCCAGGCAGGGAAGAATTTGTTATTCTCTGTGCCTAGTTTCACTCCAGTGGCAGTGTTGGAATAAGAGTGGGATGCTGGTCAGGGTGGGGCTGGCTGCTCTGTGCCTGCTAAGGCTCTGACTGCAATGGCAGTTGGCGGGGGTGTGGGAGTGAACTCCACTACCACCTCGGCAGTGGCAGAGCAGGGTGCATGCATATACGCAGGCACTGGCAGGTCAAGGAAAGCAAAACCCATCCCCACACACAGTCACCAGCAAAGCAATGTAAGTGGTTGCCGTGGGCCTTGGGGAAGCTGCAGTGTAGGGAGAGAGCTACTGGGCTGCTGTGTGGTCCTCGGGGCTGCCCTGCTGGAGCTCTCTGCCAGTCAGGTATAGTCCACCAGTGCAGAAGCTATGATGCAGGCCCTCAGGGCACCTGAGGCTGTTTTGCAAGCAGGCACTGGCAGGCTGGGACCTTAGGAGAGGCCAGAAGACCAAGGAGCACTCAGGTTGGACTGGTCTCTTCTAATGGGCGAGACCACCCTGCAGAGTTTAGGTCTGACAATTTCCCTAGGGCTAAAGTTTCCTATGAGAGCAAGTGGAGCCAAGCGATATGACCATCTCTAGGTGTGCTCTGCTACAGACTCTCCCACACCAAACCTTTTGGGCTCCACATCAGCTGACTTGCTGCCCCTACAACTTCTGTAAACAGTTCTCCTTGCCAATTTGAATGTCGGTGGTGGTCGAGGCATATCTTCCTTCCAGAATTCCAGGGGCCCATCGCAAGGGTGGGTTGCTCCCATTCCTCTAGAGTTATTGGAGGCCAGGAACAAGTCCCGGTGTGCATAGCCCTGTGTAGGGCTCCCAGCTGCCTCCTCCATCAGCCCAGTTTATGTGTCTTCCCTCCATCTACTCTTGGTGCCTTCCCTCTGAAGATCTGTTAGGAGTGCACCAGTCCTCTCCATCCCTGTCCACCTGGCTATATCTACTCAGCTATCTTGCCTGATCCCTTGAAGATCTCTTTCTCTACATATCACTTCTTTGTCAGATACGGGGTTTGCAAATATCGCCTTCCAGTCTGTAGTTTGTCTTTTCCTCCTTTAAACACGGGTTTTTCCAGAGGGAAAGTTTTTACTTTAAGAGGTTTAATGTATTGATTATTTTTCAATTGAGAGTCACGCTTTTGGTGTTAAGTCTAACTATCTTTTTGCTTTAGGCAGCAAAGATTTGCTCTTGCATTTTTTTCCTAAAAGTTTTATAGATTTGTGTTTTATGTTCACATCTGTGTTTCATTTTGATTCTAATTTTAATCAGATGTCAGGTGTAGGTCAAGGCTCTTTTTTATCGTTTATTTTAGGTTCACAGGTACATGTGCAGGCTTGTTATGTAGGTAAAATGTGTGTCATGAGGGTTGGATGTACAGATTATTTGATTACCCAGGTAATAAGCATAGTACTTCATGGGTAGTATTTTGACTCTCATTCTTGTCCCACCATTAACCATAAGTAGGTCCTGGCATTGGATGTTCCCTTCTTTTGTTCATCTCTACTCAGTGTTTAGCTCCCACTCATAAGTAAGAATATGTAGTATTTGGTTTTCTGTCCCTGTGTTAGTTAGCTTAGGAAAATGGCCTCCAGCTCCATCCATATTGCTACAAAGGACATGATCCCATTCTTTTTTATGGCTGTGTAGTACTCTATGGTGTATATGTACCACATTTTCTTTATCCAATCCACTATTGGTGGGTACCTAGGTTGATTCTATGTCTTTGAAATTGTGAATAGTGCTGCAATGAACATATGTGTGCATTTGTCTTTATGGAAGAATGATTTATAATTATTTTAGTATATATCCAATAATGGATTTGCTGGGTCAAGTGATAATTCTGTTTTAAGTTACTTAAGAAATCACCAATCTGCTTTCCACATGGCTGAACTAATTTACATTCCCATCAGCAATGTATAATTGTTCCCTTTTCTCTGCAACCTTGCTAGCATCTGTTACTTTTTGACTTTTTAGTAATAGCCATTCTTACTGGTGTAAGATGGTATCTCACTGTGGTTTCGATTTGCATTTTTCTAATGATTAGTGTATTAGTCCGTTTTCATGCAGCTGATAAAGACATACCTAAGACTGGGGAGAAAAAGAGGTTTAATTGGACTTATAGCTTCCCATGGCTGGGGAGGCCTCAGAATCATGGTGTGAGGCAAAAGGCACTTCTTACATGGTGGTGGGAAGAGAAAATGAGGAAGAAGCAAAAGTAGAAACCCTGATAAACCCATCAGATCTTGTGAGACTCATTCACATCACAAGAATAGCATGGGAAAGACCAGCCCCCATAATTGAATTACCTCCCCATGGGTCCCTCTCACAATATGTGGGAATTCTGGGAGATACAGTTCAAATTGAGATTTGGGTGGCTATAGAACAAAAATATAACATTCTGCTCCTGGCCCCTCCAAATCTCACGTCCTCACATTTCAAAACCAATCATGCCTTCCCAAAAGTCCCCCAAAGTTTTAACTCATTTCAACAATAACCCAAAAGTCCACAGTCCAAAGTCTTATCTGAGACAAGACAAATCCCTTCTCCTTATGAGCCTGTAAAATCAAAAGCAAGCTAGTTACTTCCTAGATACAATGGGGGTACAGGTATTGGGTAAATACAGCCATTCCAAATATGAGAAATTGGCCAAAACAAAAGAGTTACAGGGCCCATTCAAGTCCGAAATCCAGTGGGGCAGTAAAATTTTAAAGCTCCAAAATGATCTCCTTCAACTCCAGGTCTCACATCCAGATCACACTGATGTAAGAGGTGGGTTCCCATGATATTGGGCAGCTCCACCCCTGTGGCTTTGCAGGATACAGCCTCCCTCCCAGATGCTTTCATGGGCTGGGGTTGAGTGTCTGCAGCTTTTCCAGGCATGCAGTGCAAACTGTCAGTAGATCTACCATTCTGGGGTCTGGAGGATGGTGGCACTCTTCTCACAGCTCCACTAGGCAATGCCCTAGTGGGAACTCTGTGTGGGGGCTCTGATGCCACATTTTTCTTCCACACTACCCTAGCAGATGTTCTCCATGAGGGCCCCACCTCTGCAGCAAACTTTTGCCTGGGCATCCATGCATTTTCATTCATCTTCTAAAATCGAAGCAGAGGTTCCCAAACCTCGATTCTTGACTTCTGTGCCCCTCCAGGCTCAGCACCATGTGGAAGCTGCTAAGGCTTGGGGCTTCCACTCTCTGAAGTCACAGCCTTAGCTCTGCCTTGGCCCCTTTCACTTAAATGGCTGGGACACAGGGCAACAACAAGTCTGTAGGCTGCACAGAGCATGGATACCCTGGGCCCAGCTGACAAAATCACTTTCTCCTCCTGGGCCTCTGGGCTTGTGATGGGAGGGGCTGCTGTGAAGGTCTCTGACATAGCCTGGAACATTTTCCCCACGATCTTGGGGATTAACATTAGGTTCCTTGCTACTTATGCAAATTTATGCAGCTGGCTTGCATTTCTCCTCAAAAAATGAGTTTTTCTTTCTTACTGCGTTGTCAGGCTGCAAATTTTTTGAGCTTTTAGTCTCTGTTTCCCTTTTAAAATGGAATGCTTTTAACAGCACTCAAGTCACGTTTTGAATACTTGGCTGCTTAGAAACTTCTGCCAGATACCCTAAGTCATCTCTCTCAAGTTCAAAGTTCCACAAATCTCTAGGGCAGGAGCAAAATGCCATTAGTCTCTTTGCTAAAAACATAGGAAGAGTCACCTTTGCTCCAGCTCCCAACAAGTTCCTCATCTCCATCTGAGATCACCTCAGCCTGGACCTTATTGTCCATGTTGCTATCATGCTTTTGGTCAAAGCCATTCAACAGGTCTCTAGGAAGCTTCAAACTTTCTCACATTTTCCTGTCTTCTTCTGAAAAGTTGAGATTTGGGTGAGGACATAGTCTTCTTTGGAAAAGTGTCATTCATGTCCTTTCTCCATTTTTAAATTTTTTTTTCTTGTAAATTTAAGTTCTTTCAAGATGCTGGATATTAGACCTTTATCAGATGCATAGTTTACAAAAAATTTTTCTCCCATTCCATAGGTTGTCTGTTTATTCTTTTGATAGTTTCTTTTGCTGTGCAGAAGTTCTTTAGTTTTATTAGATTCCATTTGTCAATTTTTGCTTTTGTTGCAATTGCTTTTGGTGTCCTCATCATGAAATCTTTGCCAGGTCTTATGTCCACAATGCTACTTCCTAGGTTTTCTTCTAGAGTTTTGCTAGTTTTAGGTTATACATTTCAGTATTTAGTCTGCCTTAAGTTGATTTTTGTATATGGTGTGTGCAAGTGGTCCAGTTTCAGTCTTGTGCATATGGCAAGCTAGTTATCCCAGCACCATTTATTAGATAGGGAGTCCTTTCCCCATGTCTTGTTTTTTGTTGATTTTGTCAAAGATCAGATGGTTGTAAGTGTGTGGCTTTATTTCTGAACTCTGGACTCCAGATGTCCAGGTCTTCAAAACCATTTATTGAAAAGACAATCTGTATTAGTGTCCTGAGATTTCTATAACAAAGTATCATAGAAAGGATGGGTGGCCTAAACAACAGGCATTTATTTCTCAAAGTTCTGGAGACAGAAAGTCCAAGACCAAGGTGGTGGTCGGTTTAATTTCTGATGAGGGCTTTCTTTCTGGCTTCTAGACAGCCACCTTCTCACTGTGTCCTTCCATGGCAGGAACAGCGAAATCTCACTTCTCTTTCTTTTTTTATAAAGCCACTAACTCCATCGTAAGGACTCCACCCTCATGATCTCATCTAACCCTATTTTCCTCCCCAATGCCCATCTCCTAATACAGCTGCATTGGGGGTTAGGGATTTGACATATGATTTTTTTTTTTTTGAGACAAAGTCTCACTCTGTTGCCCAGGCTTGAGTGCAGTGGCATGATCTTGGCTAACTGCAACCTCCGCCTCCTGGGTTCAAGTGATTCTTGTGCATCAGCCTCCCAAATAGCTAGGATTACAGGTGCCTGCCACCACACCTGGCTGATTTTTGTATTTTAGTAGACATGGGGTTTCACCATGTTGGCCAGGCTGGTCTCAAACTCCTGACCTCAGGTGATCCACCCACATTGGCCTCCCAAAGTGCTGGGATTACAGGCATGAGCCACCACACCCGGCCAACATATGAATTTTTGAATGGGATACAATTTAGTCTATGGCACTATTGTAAATATGTTGAATAGGTTTTGCACATTTGTCAAAAGTCAGTTGGCCATATTTATGTGTGACTGTCTCTGGGTTTTCTGTCTTATTAATCTTTTTATTTATCCTTCTGATAATACCACATAGCTTTGGCTACTGTAGCTATAGAGTAGCCCTTAATATCTGTAGAGTGAGCCTTCCCATTTTATTATTATTATTTTTTAAAGATTGTTTTAGCTTGTGCCCTTCCACAGAAACTTTTGAATGAGCTTATCTATGTGTACAGAAACCTTGGTGGGATTTTGGTAGGAATTGCATTAAATTGAGAGCTCAATGTGGGGAGAACTGACACCTTTTCTACCTGAATTTTCCATGTAATAAACACTGTATGCCTCTTCAATTTTCAATTATTTAGGTTTCTTTTATTTCTTTCTCAACATTTTATAATTTTTCATCAGACAGATTCTATACTAAACTATATTGTGTAGTTTAACTTTATTCCTAATTATAACTTTCTTTGTGGTATTTCTACTTGGTACCATATTTTAAATTTTACTTTCCACATATTCATTGTTAGTATACAAAAATATGTTTGAATTTTTTGTACTGATCTTGGATTTTGAGACCTCTCTGAACTCACTAATTAACTGTAGAAGAAAGTTTGTTTGTTATTAGTTTGTTCGTTCTTCAGATTCCTTGAGACTTTCTATGTAGACAATCATGTCAACTTAAATAAGAATAGTTTTATATCCTTTTTATCTGAATACATTTTGTTTCTTTTTCTTGCCTTATTGCAATTGCTAGAAATTCTATTATGTTAAATGAAAGTGGTGAAAGAATATGTCCTTGAATAGTTCTCAACCTTAGGGCAAAATCTTTCCCCACTATGTGTGATGTTAGGTACAGGTTTTTTTGTAGGTGCTATTTATCATGTTATGGAACTTTCTTCTATTTCTAGTTTACAGAGAGTTTTATTTTGTTTTGATTTTTTATTATGAATAGTTGTTGGATTTTGTCAAATGCTTTTTCTGTCTCTATAGATATGACTGTAGGATTTTTATTCTTTTGCTTATTTATATTATGGATTGCATTGATTTTCAAATGTCAAAGCAGTCTTGTATACCTAGAATCAATCCCACTTGTACATATTTTATAATTCTTACTATAGCTTGCTAGATTATATTTGCTGATTTTTTTAAAGAAGTTTGAATCTAAGTTCATAAGACATATTAGTTTGTAGCTTTCTTTTTCTTTTCTCTTAGTACTGTATAATTTTGGTATAAGGGCAAAATTAATCTCAAAAAACGAGTTGAAAATGCCCCCTTCTTTCCTATTTCCTGAAAGAATTTGTGTAGTATTGGTGTTATTTTTTTCTTAATTTAATTCCTTCAGTGATTACAAAACTATTGAAGTTACCTTTTCATTATAGTTTGATTCTGGCAGGTTGTAGTTTTCAAGCAACTAGTCTCTTTCCTCTCTCTGTCTCTCTCTCTTTATATGTATACAATATTATATAATATATAATTACATATTATATATTACATATATTAAAATTATATATATTATATGTTATATATAATATACATATATTTACTTGTGGTTTATCCTTTTATCATTATATAATGCCTTCTTTGTCTCGATTCTTTCTATCTTCTGATTTCTACCTTATTTATTTTCTGGATTAATGTACACATGGTACATCTTTTCCCTGTACTTTTACCTTCACCATCCCCATACCATTGAGTTTCAGGTAAATTTCTTACAAACTGTATATATTTAGGTTTCTTATTTTGTTCAATCTATTATTATCTCTAGAAGAGTGTAGTTAAATCATTTATATTTAAAGTCATTAATGATATATTGAGGCTTAACTCTGACAATTTATCATTTGTTTTCTGTGTTTCCTCTGATTCTTTTTTCTCCATTTCTCTCTTGCTTTTTTTTTCTTAACTTACCCAGTTAACAACAACAACAACAAAAAAACAATTTATAGGAGTCTATCTTGATCCATTTATAGTGTTTTTGCATACATTGAATTGTATAATTTTTCATAGTGGTTGCTCTAGGTATTACAATGTACATGCATAACTTATCATAGTCCATTGGTATTGACCTTATACCTTTCAATGAAGTGCAAAAATCTTACAAGTATTTCGGCATCTTAACCAACCCTACATTTTAAAAGAAGTTTAAAAATTTCCTCCATATACATTGAACTCTACATCAGTGTTCTGCACGCATGGAAAATGGCATGCTTTCCCAATTCCAGCTTTGGAGATATCAGTCAATTAATGATCAGTCACAAGCTAGATATGTTCAAAGTGCTGCTCTGACAGCTGTGCTGTGTTTCAAGTATGAGACATTCAACATTCTTGGATTCCACTGACACTGAAAGCCAGTCTAGATTTCCACCCAAAGCCACTGCCCTAGAATGCTGAAAGAAAACATTTTGCCTGGGAAAATTCAAACCATTTCTCAGGCACATGTTTGATTGTTCAGTGTCAACACTCAAGGACCTAAGTGCTACATAATCTTTATTACTTTATAATTATATTTCAATTTCAAAAGTGTTCCTCTTGTTTGTTTTCTGGGAATCTTTTTTGAAACTTGACAAGTAATTAGTTGATCAGCTTGCCTTTCAGCATCAAGTGGTATTTTATCTTAACCTAAGATGTCTTTAATAAAAAGGTATCAATGATGTGATAATTCAATTCAGAAGCCTCCAGAGATTTGCTCATGTTATATTTGTCACACAAAAGCAGAGATCTACTCAAGTGGAATGTGAATCACTGTGTTCATTTATATTTAGCACTATTAATAAACTATGAATTGAAGATATGACAAGTACTTCTTAACATGGTTTATACAATACATAAATATAAAATGTTTAATATATATTAACTATAATGATACATTTATGTTATATATTTTATGATACATTTAATTTAAAAGTACAGCAATTAATTCATCTTGGATGTCAAGTAATAATCACATCTCTGCAACTTTGTAGTTAAATTTTATGTTTCCTTCTTTCCCCCCTTCCTTCTTTCTTTTTGAACACCATGAACTCCTCAAGATGCACTGTTGTATCATTTTAATATATAATAAATTGCATTGCTTTTAGCATATGATGTGCTTTCAATATTTTGTAGTAGATGGGATAAAAAAATTATAATTTAGGTCTACCAAACAATTTTATGTCTTTACAAAAACCCTGGTGGGATTTTCTAGGTTATAAAGATTGAATGAATCCTTTCATACCCTGCATTGGAATGAGGAGTACTAAAAGCTAAAACTATCCAATAAACCTACCTCCTTTATTTTACAGTCTCTTCAGGCTTGCAGTATATATGAAAATACAATGATTACTTAGTTTGTTGCATCAAGAAGGTTTAGAGTATTCTCTTAGTTATTCTGAATCTTTCCATATGAAGAGTGTAAGATAGGTATTTACACAGGTATCAGGTATTTGGTTGTCATTTCCTACCGTTACTGAAATGTAGCATTTGAAAAATTATTGCTCGCATTAGGTCTACTTCTTAAGACTGCTAAGCAACAGGAACTTCCAAGAAATTTTATAAAATAGGAGGAAAAGAACCATGCTCAGAGACAGAAATGCCTCAGGACTCAGCTTATAAAGCTAGAATGTCTGAGTTCGACTCCTGACACCTTCAATTTCTACATCTGGGACCTTAGACAATGCTATGATCAGAATGTGTGTGTCCCCTAAAATTCATGTTAAAAAACTAGTCACCAATGTGATGGTATTAGGAGGTGGGGCTTTTAGGAGGTGATTAGGTCATGAGGGAAGAGCCTTCCTGTGTGGGATTAGTGCCCTTATGAAAGAGAGCCCAGAAAACTGCCTTGCCCCTTCCACAGTGTGAAAACGCAGTCAGAAGGCACCATCCATGAACCAGCAAGCAGGGCTACGTCAGACGTTGAGTCTGCCAATGCCTTGATCTAGGACTTCCCATCCTCCACTACTGTAAGAAATACATTTCTATTGTTTATAAGCTACCTAGTTTAAGGCATTTTGTTAGAGAAGCCCAAACTGATCAAGACAGACACTGTACTTATCCATGCAGGGTTTCCCTATGTATAAAATGAAAAATCCTAACAGTTCCTAATTTATGGGATTGGTATAAGGTTTAAATGTGTTAATCTTCATCAAGTACTTGGAAAACTGCCTGGCACATGAGTATTAGCTGTTATTATTTCTGAGCAGAAGCTGACACTAAAATGCTACAGTATCCATGGGATAGGAGACCTCCTTCATACTTTACAATCACACCTCTCGATGGTACAACAGAATAAGAATCAAAAGCAGCTGAAAACAGTTAAGGCAGGGTGAAACATCACTACTGTATCACTTTAAAGTAAATGTGCTAATCCTGTATCTGCAACTTGTCATTTCTTTATAGAGCCTTATCCAGAATGTTTTCACTTATATATTCGTTCAACACTATTTATTCCACTGCACTGAGGTAGTTTCTGTAAGAAAATACAAAAGGTAATAGACTGTGCCTTCAAAGACTTATGGCTAGTACTACAGAAAAAAATATGAAAAAGATAGCTAGCTAGAGAGAGAGAGAGAGAGAGAAATGGCTATCTGCCCATCCTAAGAGTGAGTTATTTTATTGCTACCTAACTTACTTCAGAAGTTGTTAGGAATATCTACTTACAGTTTTTAAATGATGGATCGATTTTAACCTTCAATATTTCTAATTGTCTTTTTACGTTTAGCTAAAACCAACAAGCTGTTTGCTTCTCCATGAAACTATTTTGCTGAATTGATCCTCGATTTCTCTCCAGCAATGTGGAACGGGCATGCGTTTGCCTTTGCCAACATGTTAACACCCTCCATCCCCTCACCGTTTGATTGTTTCTGGGATTAGCAGTAGGGGGCTCACCAGGTCCACCCAATGTGCACCCTCCTCCCGGCTTCCCCTCTGCTTTTAGACTGCAGGAAGGAATTGACTGGGTTGCTAACCCACACATCACTAAGGGCCTTAGTTACTGATCTGTAGATTATTAGAGAAGAGATCCCAGCTAGCTGAGGACATTTTGTTTATTGCATGGATGGGAGTGGGGAGGGGGCAGCCTCGGCCAGGAGCTATGTTTGCTGTTTTTGCCTAATGTTTAAATGGAAGAAAATTCCCTTGCAGCTCTCTCCCAACACAGCACTTTCCTTTGCCCTTATGTGCCTGTTATTTCCTTGCCCTGCAAGCCTCTGAGGCACCCTGCCCTGTTCCCTTACCACCCTACTTGGCCGGGTGCTGCCTCCAGCTCAAATGAAGTAGAACAGGCCTCCCAGGGCTTGGCACATGGCACAAGAAGGCAATGTGTGTGGGTTCTTTTTTTTTTTTTTTTAATTCTTTTTTCCTTTTTTTCTTTGTAACTCTTAATGATCTTTTCTTTGTGACTCCCGTCCCCAATTATGTTCTCAAAAAGCAAAGTTGATGCATATGTACACAACCAACAGACTGTCTTCTCCTTGTTTTTCTCATGATTGTGCCTGTGAATAAAACCCTGAAATTATCAATTGGATAATAGAGCGATGTAGCTCTTCCAAATGGTTGGGTTAAATTGGCTGTGGTTTAAAGTAGAATTATCATTAATAATAATAGTAATAACCCACCCACCAGTGGAATATTCATTCACACATAATAGCATACAAGCCCCCTGCTCTGGAAGTATCCAGGGGGTTGCTGGCTGGACAGAATCCTGTACATAAAGGGAAAGAGAATGCCTGGATGACCCTCCTGGGAAGGCTCCTTTTCTGCTTTCTTCACCTCTCTCTTCAAGCCCCAGTTCTAGTACCATGTTTCCTAGCTTTTAGCAACCCCCTCCCCTCTCTGATTGTATTTATTATCTCTAACACCCATTTATTGCTATTGATCTTTTAATGAGCACCTTGTCCCTTATACTTGTATCTTTCTGCTTGATCCACTTCCAGGTTTCTACTCCTGCAAGAGTCAGGTTTCTCAGAGACAGCTCCTCTCTCTCAAACTTCATATAAGTATTTTCATTCATTCAAATAATTCCTTTAGTGCTGTCTCATCTACATCAGAAAGTATTAGATAAAATGTGTCTCTCTTGATGACACTACTAATAATATGAGTGACATTCACTGTGAGCTAACTCTATGCCAAGTGCTACGTTGAGTCCTTCATGAACATTGACTAACCCTCGTTATGTTATTAATCCTGCTAATTCTAAGAAAGAAGTATTGTTTCCCATATACTCCAGATGACATAACTGAAATTCAAAGAGGCGAAGTAAATTCATCAAGGTTATAACATTAGTAATTTTCGGAGCTGGTCCAAACCTAAGTCTATAGTTGTTAACCGCCTTTTACCCTGGTGATAATGAGAGCGGGAGTGTGAAGGCAGCATTTTCTCCTGACAGGTGCTAACATAAGGATTGTGCAATTCTATCTTATAACACTGAAAACAAGAAAACAGGGCAAATTGTGAAGGAAAAAAAGTGAAGGAAAAAATGACCCTCTCTATTAAGAAGTCAGAAATAATTCTAGGATTCCTTAAGCAGCATGATAGTCATTGCACTTTGATCCACCATTTCTGTGGAGTTGTTTTTTAGGAATTGCAGGAAAAAAAGCAAGTGATTCTATTTTTGTGATGCTTAATTCAGTAGGTGAGAGGATGTCAGTTCAAAATGTTGCACTGGCCTTGTGCTATGCAGAGCTGGCTGAGGAGGCAACAGAAATATCTTCCCCTTCCCATGGCATAGTTTCTTTTATTCATCTATTGAGGCTGGTACTGCCCTGCTTATGAACTTGCCTCTATACTGATGTTGAAACTCTCTCAAGTCCCAGTGAAATACTTCTAAGCAAAAATATTTCATGAAACAATATTTATCTTTGTGTAATCATCTGCAATGCTTTCTTCCTGTATGTTATGCCTCATAGGCATGTCGTGAAATGATTTTGAAGCTTATTAAACCATCACTTTCTCCTGCACATCCCAGTTACATTGTTATGGGTCCTTGATTATAAATGTTTTCCTGGTATTTATCACAGCACTTTTGTGAATATCATTCTTAAGCTTTCTTTGTATTCTGTTACCTTCAGCTGTGCTTCACTGTCATTTGATTGCACATATTGCATTTGTTTGGGGCCTATTGTTTAATGAGGAGAGAATTGATCCTTTAGCAATTACCTACTTATTGGGGCCATCCAAGGTCAGGGGTATTCCTGGAAATTTTTTAATGCTGGTAAAATTGAACCAATAAGAACTCCTTGTCTGTCATTTTCTCTTAGATATTAAATGATTGGAATTAAATAAAATGTGATTGTGCCATTTTGAGTGATTGACAATATCTTCCTCTAATTCCTCGTTACTTCCCTATTGTTTCCTCGGGTTTTCCTTTGTTTTACTAGCACTGCTGGGTTTCAGAGCCTGGTTGTAGTATCTGTTTTGCTTGGATTTTTCCTTCCTTCTCTTCATCCACAGTCTTATTCCGTCACGCAACCAGGGGAGACTGACATGACTTACCTTTCACATTTCTTACATTTCCTGATGATGAGGGATTTGTTGACATTTTCTGCAAACCCTGTTGCTATTATGAATCGGAAACTAGATTTCAAGCTCCAGCATGCTCAGAGTTAAGCTGCATTGAAAAGGTAGAAAAAACTAAATGAGAAAAACTGAAAGATTTAGAATAAGAGATCATTTGTAACAATAAAGCAGTCCCGTCCCCCCAGAATACAACCTTTTAAGTGCATCTACCAGAGTCAGACCATGAGGTTTTTCTCCTTTTAGAACTGAAGCAATGTTCCTTTTTGCTTTCTAACCTACTAATTATGGTCCCAGCTAATAAATATATCACTATTCTTTTGTGACTATTATTATCATTATTGTTTAGTTAGTTATCCAAGAAATAAAACACTTTCAGATAGGGAGACAGTCCTCCTAAACTTTAAAAACCGTATGGTATATTTCTGGTTTTGAAACAGAAGTGAAACCAGTTACTTGGAATTCCTTTGTCTGTATCTGCCAATATCCAACTCAAGTTTCACAATTTTGGAGGATTAGATGCTCTTTAAAATATTACCAAAATTCATAGCCTGTTATACTCTATGTTCACGATTCTTCAGTCTCTGTTAAAAGAAAAATCTATCCATATGTGACTGTACAAACACAGGCTGTTTAGGCACCAGAGTGAATGCAGAGGCTAAACGAGAACTTTTATCTTTGTACATGGACAGGAGCATAGATAAACCACATGACTCTACATTCATGTGAACTACACACACACCTTCACACACACGCACAACATTGATGCCCTTCTTGATTGGTTTAGCCTGTTTTCTGCCACTGAATATAAGGATATTTTCAGACTTGTCCAAACGTTTGATTTTTGTAATTATTGTTAGGTTTTCTTTTATCTTGCTCTACATGGAAAATAAAATTGTGATTTAGATAGTTTGGTCCCAGCGGTCCTGTCTGCGCTCAGCAAATGGTTCCATGTCACTCCCTGCATCACAATATGGGAGCCACCGAGCTTGGCGGCAGCTAATCCTCTGAGCCTGTTAATAAGCTTAGGAGCACGTTCATTGAAGGCTGACGCGTTAGGCACAAACAGGGAGAAAATATCTACTGGGGGAAGCTGAATTGGTTTTAATCATCTGCTAATCACCAGTAATGAGACCTACTCTGGGGAAGAAAAGAAAAACAGATAGTCAGAGGGAGGTTTTGTTCTTCACAGCAGAGTAACATGGAATGAGAGGGCAGCTGTTATTAGGAAAGAAAGGATAGAAAGAAAGAAGGGATTTGGCCCTAGCAGATGAAGCGTCCTCGGCGGCACTCTGTTTTGTTAGCCGAGTGTTCCTTTCATTCAGTCCCTGAAACTTCAGATCTTGCAGGCTCCCTGACAGCCCACCTCTACGATATTGCTTCTTGAAGAAAGGAACCTCCCCCTGTCACCTCGGCCTTTACATTCGTTCCTGGAGCATTTTACCATAGCACTTTACACAGTATTTTTGCTTGAGGAGAGAAGAAAAGGAACTAGCAAGGGGAGCTCTTGATGGGTACCAAGGCATAAAAAAAAGGGTGTGTGCAGGGGAGCGGGCATGCAGAAAGTGCGGTGAGAGCAATTGTGATCCCTTGTCATGGGAGGTAAGGCCCGACAAGGAATTCAGGAAGGAAGAATCAGTTGCAAAATGGTCGGTCCCCGCCAAATTGGGTAGACCGTCTTTTTAAGTCGCGGGCTCTGTGTTTCAGGAAACTCAAGTGTGGCTAGGACTTGGCTGCCATTTTGGATGCTGTTATTTCACAGACCTTTTCTTCAAAGTTCCAATTCTTGCAATTGCTAATAATATAACTGTGTTTCACACGGCGGCTTAGGAATACCGTTCTACATTGGACAGGTGCTCTCCATGAGGAGAAGTTTATAATATACCTGCCTGTATAATCTCTCTGGAGTAATCAATATATTCACGTAGGACTGAATGATTACAGGAGCTTCCAGGGCCACCGCTGACTCTTCCTTCTTAAGCTCTTGTAGGCTGAGCCAGGGGAAACCCAAAGCACAGCCACCCTGGGTTCCACCCTGGACCAGGCCCTTCATCCTCAGCTTAAACGTCTTTCTCAGCTCTCAGCCATCCTCATACTGAAACCTAAACTCCTGGTACCTGGACCCACGTTGTCCTCAGTCTCTCCTTCCAGTCACCTGGCTTGGATTCTGTTCAACATGAGGGCTTGCTGTTTCCTGCATGGCCTGGCCTGGCCCCATGGTTTTGGTGAGTGCTGTGCCCTCTTGGTGTTCCCTTTGCTGATTGTTATTTCTTGTAATTGTTTCACTGTTTAATAGTGAGGAAGACTGTCCCCTAACCTAAAAATGTCCCCATTCTCTCTGGTCTATCATGGCAGTTTGCTTCCAAATATCCTGTAGCACTAATCCTATTCTAGAATGGTGAAGATTTTTGTGCCACTCTCTTCAATTCCAGGGACAGCGACATTCTTCCCCACATCCCTCACACCTTCCGGCACACAGCCCTGCAAATAGTAAACTTTCCACATGTTGAAACAGACTGAATTTTAAGACCTTTAGTGGGAGAAATCAAATTAAGATTTTGGCCTTCTGTAAATGTAAATTTAAGTAGTTTGCAGTACTCAGGATGGAAAAAGCAAGCCAAACTTGAATGCTTATATTTACTTTTACTTGTTTGCCATTTATATTCATTATTTCAGCTATAGGCAGAGTTGGAAGAGGGGAACATCAGAGTGAAACTATACGGTCTATTTTCCAGAAAAACAGAGAAAGCAAAACTGGTGGAAAACATTCACTGAGTCATCTTTTCATAAACTTCATCTGAGTCATCTTTTCATAAACTTCTCACATACTACCCACAAGTGCTGAGGCCTCCCTAGCTGACAGGATGCCTAGGTACAACACTCACAGCCTCTGTCTTGGGGGAGGTCATAGGCTTAGAAGGAAAGGAAAACTTAAACAAAATGTTAGCAACCCAGTGCTATTCCATTTCATGAACCCGCCAATGCACAGGAAGTACTGAGGAGGCAAGATGCATCCTGGCCAAGGCAACTTTTTTAGGGACAGCTCAAGAAAGACAGTGACCTATAAGGCTCAGTCCTGGAAGGTAAGGAAGGAATGTCCAGGGGAAGAAATCTAGGACTTCCAAAATTAGAAAAGGCAATGGCATCGAGAGAGCAAAGAGATAGATCGATGTGCTTGTTAAGAGAATGTTGAATAGTTGGTGCGGGTAGAGGAGGTGTATAAGGCCATAATTACAAATTAGAAAAAGTAGGCATTGGATATAATTTTAAGTTCTACCACGGAGCCTGGTGATAAAAAAATCTCGTCTGGGGAAAGATTTAAAAGCATCTTTCTATTTAGATCACTGCCCACGTTAGCTACTCTAGATTTTGTGTTTTAAGAACTGAAAATCCATGTGGGTATCATCCCGTCAAAAGGCCATCTCATGATACCATGGGCTTAAAGTGTCAGGCACAGTTCTTAGCACATTGTGAGCTCAATATTTGTGTGATTATTATCATCAACATCATTATTATTTATTTCCATACTATGAAAACTTTAGAAGAAAATTATCTAAATTCTTTCATTTTTAAAAAGTGGGAATTGTGGTCTAGAGATAGAAAGTGACTTATCAAAGGCCAACGGTTAATGGGAGTGATACCTTTTATTACCATTAGAACTTTTCAAAGGGTGTTGATATCCATTGTCTCAGACACAGAAAAAGTGAAGTAAGGAATGGAGCTATTGTACTTGACATGACAATGACATGCTTCACACTCACTGCTAATCACAGGCAAAGGTAAAAATTGAACCTAATTATTGGTCCAATAACCACATTTCCTTCTGGCCCTAGTCAATATATCTGCATTTGTTCAGCAACTAAAAGATGAATCCTATTCAAGTCCCCTATTCACGGCATCCCTATTTCAGTTATCAAGGAGTTTTAGGTTACTTATAAAACTGAGTATTTAAAATGGTTTTTAGATAGGCAGCATTCTAATGTTGTGAAAAATGAATTGGCCAAAATACTTGTTCTAGGGCTTAATTTATTTTTATTGGCAATATAGAATGCAAGGGCAAGACAGGACGTCTGAGCTTAGATGGCATCTCCTAGCTCAATCACACTGCAAATTTGAGAACTAAATTCAGAGACATGAAGTGACATTCCCAATGTCACTCAGCAAGTATTTGGAAGATTCTAGCCAAGTTTTCTTCTTAACAGGGCAACACTCTGTCTGCATAGAAAGAGACAAAGGAGAATGGAAGACACCAAGTGCAAAAAGAACTGTACACTCTACTTGCGTTGTTAAAAAGATGCAGGTGAGAAACACATGACCCCTTCTATAGGAAAAAACATCTTAAAGGAAAGAAAAAGGGACGGTCCATAGCACCTTTAAATTCTAAGTTGAAAGGAACTGCCTAGAAAAACACAGGATATAGAATCCAAGGCCATTTATTTAATTCTTATATTAACCAGTTTCCTATGTGTGGTCCTTAAACATCCTAAACATCAGTTTCCATTCCCATAAAAAGGCAATAAAAATAATATCTGTTTTGCCTTCTTTCACTGGGTTGTTTTCAGGTAGTGATGTAATTCTGTATCGAACATGCTAAAAGTCAGTCTGAAGAAGGGGCGGGTGGTAGAAAGGCCTTAGTGATGTCTGAGTTGAAGGTGACCAGTGATTAGCAGTGAGTCAGAGAAGGGAAGTGGAACTACATTGTGCAAAGGCCCTTGAGTGAGAAGGCAGAGGTGGTACCTGGAGAGAGCTGCCAGCAGGCCCTTGGCCAGGGAACAAGTACAGGGCAAAAGGGCTGGCTCTGCCAGACAGAAGGTCAGGGCTTTGTCCTGCAATCTGTGAGGGATCTCTGGAGGATTTAAAGCAGGGGTAGTCACTTGAATTTTAGGTCTTCAGTTGGGACTACCTCTCAACAAATAATATCAACAATCAATTTGAAAGAGACAACCTCAAAAGCAAGGCAGTGATTCGGAGCCTTAGTGAAGACCTCTGCTGAGGCAATATATATATATTACAAGAGAAAAACAAACAACCCCATCAAAAAGTGGGCAAAGGACATGAACAGACACTTCTCAAAAGAAGACATTTATGCAGCCAAAAAACACATGAAAAAATGCTCACCATCACTGGCCATCAGAGAAATGCAAATCAAAACCACAATGAGATACCATCTCACACCAGTTAGAATGGCGATCATTAAAAAGTCAGGAAACAACAGGTGCTGGAGAGGATGTGGAGAAATAGGAGCACTTTTACACTGTTGGTGGGACTGTAAACTAGTTCAACCATTGTGGAAGTGAGTGGGGCGATTCCTCAGGGATCTAGAACTAGAAATACCATTTGACCCAGCCATCCCATTACTGGGTATATACCCAAAGGACTATAAATCATGCTGCTATAAAGACACATGCACATGTATGTTTATTGCGGCATTATTCACAATAGCAAAGACTTGGAACCAACCCAAATGTCCAACAATGATAGACTGGATTAAGGAAATGTGGCACATATACACCATGGAATACTATGCAGCCATAAAAAATGATGATTTCATGTCCTTTGTAGGGACATGGATGAAATTGGAAATCATCGTTCTCAGTAAACTATCGCAAGAACCAAAAACCAAACACCGCATATTCTCACTCATAGGTGGGAATTGAACAATGAGATCACATGGACACAAGAAGGGGAACATCACACTCTGGGGACTGTTGTGGGGTGGGGGGAGGGGGGAAGGATAGCACTGGAGATATACCTAATGCTAGATGACAAGTTAGTGGGTGCAGCACACCAGCATGGCACATGTATACATATGTAACTAACCTGCACATTGTGCACATGTACCCTAAAACTTAAAGTATAATAATAATAATAATAATAAAAAATAAATAAATAAATAAGGAAAGGAGGGAAACTGGAAAACTTGAGAGGAATTAAAAAGTCTGAGTCTGCAGAGCCTGCTGAGTGACGAAGGTGAATGACTTTCAGTTTTCTGGTTATTGGCTGGATAATGGTGATTCTATTGAATTGGAGATATTGTAAGGGTGGGTTGGATACAATGTGGAATGAAGTTTTGGACATCCCAGGGGGAAAATCTAAAAAACACACTCTTTAAGGAGCTGGACTTTGGGGTCAAGGAAGACATGGGTTTCAGTCTTAGCTCTAGCACTATCGGGCATGTATGAAATAATGATGTAAAGCACTGAGACGGAGCCTGGAACATAAAAAGAGCTACACAATTAGGTACAGCGTGATGCTGATGGTAGTGGTGGTTGTGGTTAAGGTGATGAGTCAGTGACAGCCATAGATCCAGGTAAGACTCTGAAGGAGAGAGCTCCTGGCATGTCATGGTACACTTAGCACACAGATAACATTGAAAAGATGAAGAATCAGATCACTCATGGGTCACATTCATAGTTAGGAAAGAAAGTTGGGGAAGACTCAGCCATACAGGACAACAATACTTAAAAGAAGGACAGATGAAGAGAAGTTGACCTTGAGAATAGTTGACAGAGAGCTAAGAGGAGACTTCATTATTGAGTGAACAATGATGAATAGCAGTTTTCCACCTCAAGTGTAACTTTGATGAGGACAAAGACTGGGTCATGATAGTGTTTATATGGCCAACCACAGTATACTTCCTGGATTAGCTTAGATGCTAAATAAAAGTTAATTGAGTCAATGAACTTGAATACAATATCATGTTTACTATGGGCCACCTTAATGGCCTCCACACATCCCCTATGTTCAGGTTTCAATCCATTTGTATCCAGACAACATAATGCCTAATTCAGTGATTCTTAAAGCTTTTAATTATGCTTTTTGTTCTAGGACTTATGAGACTTTTCACAGCACCAATCTTGTCGTGGGCGGGAGTGGGGATGTACAGTTGTAAGTATAGGGATACACACGTCTCTGGTGGCTTGGGGTGACATATATAAAGATTGAATTATGTTCATAATTTTGAAAGAGGGAGAAGTCAGAATAACACCAATTTTTTTAACTTGATTAATGACTAATTTGCTTCACATATTAAATATAGTCCAACACAAACAGGTATTTGGGATAATGATACTGTATGTGGAACATGTGAAAAGACAGAAATTTCAAGAGAGTCTAAAGGCTTATCAAGAAACAAGGGATAATAATGTGGGGGGTCCTGGGTAGGAGAGAAATGCATGGAAATGGGCAGGGGCTATGATACTGGACTGACTTTCTCCTTGGAACTTAGGAGTTCTTTTGGGTTATCTCCCAAATACCTCTACTATCCCTGCTCGGGTGATAAAAATACCACTTTAAGAAATTTAGAATCTTGATATTCTCTTACAGAGAAAAAATATGAGTGCTACCTTGCTGGACTAAACACAGAATCATAGATTTGGAAGCTTAGAAAACTATAAGTTGACCATTCAGTCTCTTCCCTGGCTTCTAAGAAACCTAAATAGTCTAGTTTGTCTTTTGGGAAGGCTAGGTGAAATAAAGTAGAAAACATAAATTTTAGAGCCAAACATTTTGAATTCCAGCAGAGTGACTGCATGTCCTTAGGCAAGCTGTTTGCCCTCTCTGAGCTTCCTTTCCTTTTTCATTTATCAAATGATGAAATGTCAATGTCTAACCTTTTTCCTCCTGGGAGACCTAAGTTAAATGACTTATAGAAAGCATCTTGCCCAATGTTCATCAGTAAGGAGGGAATCAGTGATTTCACCTTCATTCTTCCTATCTGAGTCATGTATAGTCATGAACTAAAGGGTGGGTTGAGAATGTGTGAACTCAAATAATCTATGCAAGAGTTTATTTCTTGCTGATAGTATATGTAGAATAGGGTCAACTCTAATGATTTGCTGAACAGCTCAGGAAATGGGGGATCCCTCACCTGTTAGCTGAACCATCTGAAGTCCTGGCCCTGCATTCCTCCCCACAATAGGAAAAGAGAAAGCTGTCAGGCCACACACCTGATATTGAATGATTTGACTCAAAAATGACACTTGTCATTTCCACTCACCTAACTGCATAGCCCATTGAGCTTCAGAGAGACTTGAAAAATGGGGGAGTACATGGATATTTGGTGAGCAGTAAACGTTTCTACTAGAGTTATAGAATGATGTAAGGCATTCAGCTGGAACTGTAGATGCCATACATCTAAACCTTAAATTAGAAGATTTGATATAATCTCCATCCCATCCACAACCTTTTAAACAATCAATTCATTTCATGCTCAGCTCATGGTAAAGAAGATTTCTGGAACAAACACAGATGAGCTTGCTCACTTTGCTGGACTGGGAACAAAACCAGTGACTTGCTTTGTTCTAGGGGCTCTCTCTAGCCCTGAGCCTTTTGGGGTCACTCTGGAAGGGTAGACCTGCAGTGACCATTGGCCACGGTCCCCTTCATGTCCTGTTGGTCCTTCATTTATCTACTCTCTTCTCCTCTTTTCCCTACTAGTGCCTCAGCCTCTGTATTTGATCTTTCTGTCTGTCAGGCTGATTAGCATACTTTGACAGATTAAAAGGCTAAGGTCAAACCAACAAACCCCTAAAGAAATACGGCTAATTATTGTCCTATGCTTTTTAAATACTTTTGCTCTTCAAATAATTTAACAAGCAATAAAATTCAACTTTGTATCCCAAGGGTTGTTTAATGTTGTATTAGAAAAATAAATCCTTTAACTTTCTGCATTCCATGTGGTGGGAGAGCAATGAACTGTTGTGGGGTTGTCAGTGGTAATCGTCTCCACTTCTGGAGTCTCTAAAGTGACACAAAATGGCAGACGGAGTCTTGCAAGCAGTGCCATGTAGCGACCTGTGGAAATGACACTGGTTTCGCATTCATACATCGTACCCATAGGTAACATCGAGACAGGAAGTATAGCTTACAACCCTAAGAGGCAGGGTAGTGCAGTGGCTAGGGCACAGACTCTGGTTGAGATTCCTTGGTTTGAATTCCAGTCTCATCCTGTGTGAACTTGGAGATGTCAGGGTGGTTGTTTATTTTCTCTATGCCCTGATTTCCTGATCCATAAAATGGGGACTTAGTTATAATAATAGTACATATCTCATCAGGTTGTTGGGAGAATTAAGAAGAATGGATTTGGAAGGATGCCTGAATTGTTCACTATCAGTAATTCCTTGGCTTGATATTCCCAACACTATTTTATGAGAAAGCTGTTAACCAATGTGATGCTCGGAAGTATACTACATGTATTGTCTCACTTCTAAAGAATTAGTCATCGGACGATATGCAAGGTAACATTGCCAACCCTCCTCCACTGCAGGTAAATCACTCCCTGGCCCCCAGACAGCACTGATTAGAAGCATTGTCAATCGTACTTCAGCCCTGCTACAAGCCAAGGCTAGGAAGACAAGGGTCGGGAATGCAGATGCGCAGTCCTACTCACCCTCCAGATTTAAAAAAAAAATCAATTTACAAGATGATAATGGAGTGAGGTTTATTGTGCTGCCCCTCAAACGACTGTACAATTCTGTGATGAGCAGTGGCTCAATACCAAGTGGCTCCTGGCAGGGCGGGGGCAGGCCTGGAAAAGAGCAAGCTGGGGGTGGGCGGGTGGAAATGCAAGGGAGTGAGGGGAGTGAGGAAGAGGCGAAAGCACTCAACTCAAAAGCTAATTACTCCACATATTTTGAAAGATAAAAACAGGATAGCCTCCAAGTAAGAGGCATCTAATAGCTCAAGAAAGTCTCCAGTGAAGCCGTTCACTACAGGTGAAAGGCCCAATTACCAGATCAAGTGGCTACATTATCAAAAATTATTCTATTGATTTCAGTGAGGTGCGTTTCCCTGCGATGATTGCCACCATCTGAAATTTCCTTTCCTGCTGATTTGGAACATGCCGCCCCATCTCCGTGCTTCAAGTTGTTCAAGATGCGTTCGCATGTGTGGGTAAGCACAGCTCAGCCTGCTGTGAGAGTCTGGTTAGCACAGGCTGGAAAGGCAGGCAGGCCGCCAGGTGCCCAGGGCCAGTGGCTCTGTCACTAGTAAGAAATTAGGTGCAACGGGATGTCATTTGCATAGGCACTTTCTGAGTTCTGGATTTCCCGCAATGTTTCCTACAAGGGATGCTACTTTGGGGAAAGGCCCCCATGAATCCAAGGTGAACTTGCAAACTTCAGTGGTCACAGCCTGGAAGCAGAAAGATAAAGCATTAAACTTCACACCTGGGCACCATAGGGGTGAATTGGGGTCTACATTTGAGGAAGGTGGGGAATTGGGAATAGAGATCTTTCTAATTTCATTCAAATTACCCAGTACTTTCTATTTCTAAAGAATATTGTGAGAAAAAGCACATTTAATCGAACAAGGTTCCAACCAAGTAAAAACTGGAAAGGAATCTTAGAAGTCATTTACTTTCTAGGAAAATCAAATGTTCTTTTTACAAATTTCAATATAATGCCATTTTAATAGTTCAGCTAGATAATTTCCTTAAGAATGTTTTTTTTTGGGGGGATCCAGAGATGAGTGGACAATTTCCACTTGCCTGTGGGTAAAAAGTGGAATGAATTCCATGCCTATCTTCCCTCCTACGTCTACCCACATCCCTATTTCCTGGATACTGTTCTTGGGTTCACAGTTGGTTAATGTAAAACCAGGCTGGAATAGGATGTCTTGCAGCTAATGTTTAAACTAAAGCCAAGAGAAAGCACCTTTCTGATGCTGGTGAACTTCTACCCCATATGGGCCCAGGGAGAGCTATTGTGTACACGAATAAAGGCACCAAGGCAGGGTGGTGCAGTGGAACTTTAAGCCAATTATTCCCGCACTTGCTCTCCATTGGCTGCCTCCTCCTTCCTGGGACTCCTCAGGCTGATGCCCAACATATTCAAATCTTCCCCTAAAAGGTTTAGTCTAGGTTGCTTCTTCAGTACTGTTTGAACATTAAATATGCAAATAATCATCATTACACTTCCAACAATTACACATGTTTGCGAGCACCGTGTCAAGTGCTGGCAGCAGAGCAATCATTTGTAAAGACAAATATTCCATTCCAAGAGATGTCATGCTGCTTAGAAGATTCTTTTTTGTATTAGTAGCCACACTGCTGCTTCCTAAAGTGTGCAAATGAACGTGACAATGCTGCCAGGAGCTGCCAGGCCCTTCCCCTCCGCAGAGCAGGTGCCAATCACCCATCCCACACAGCAGAGGCCCGGCCTCACAGCCCAGGGACACTGAACATGGCGAATGTGAGGAGGCCCTCCCAGGAGGCTCCCGGGTCGGCTTCTCCCTCCTGCGGCCCCCTCCCCTGCCATCCCTCTTCTTTGAGGGGGCCTCAGGCCTTCAGAATATTTTAATTCCTGATTTCTGACTATATTATCATGTGTTTGTAACAGATGAATTGTCATTTGTAGCTCAGAGGTGATGTGAAAAACTGCCTGGAACCACAGGCCTGGTGTTGCAGCGGAGCAGGAATTCTTTCTTTTCTGTGCGTTTTTACCTCTCCTTATTATTATTTTTTCCCTTTCGCCCCTCCCTTCCCCTTGCTCCCTGCCTTTCCCCTCCTGGTGTTTCACATAGTTATGGATAATTGTCACCATTTTCTTTTATCGCATCCAAAGTGGCGGCTTAGAGGGGCCTGGACTTGAGTCAGGACTAATCTTGCCTTCTCCCAAAGTAGGAAAATCCCAAGTCTTGCAGGGCCCAATTGATAACCCTTGTGCTTCTTTTCCATGAAAGACGGATGGCTCTGGCAAGCTTGGGAGACTGCAGATAATGGGATTGACTTGGTACTTAAATCTCAGTGAACCAGGACAGCATAAGTAATTAGTGAATTGGATCCATCCTGGGGTGCTAATGATGGCTAAGTCTGCCCCCACGCCATTCTGAAAACGACAAGAGGCACATCCATCTCACGCAGATAAAAACCAAGGGGACACTGCTCACAGACACCATTTATTCCTTCTTTAGTGCACAATTTATCCTAGAAGGGAAAAAAAAAATCTAATTTTCCTCAAGTGATACCCAGAAGACCAAGTGACCAGGCTCCCACCAGAGTTCATTTTGATCACAATACTGCTCCTGTTTTTAATTAAGAAAGGCTAATTAAGAAAAACTCTACATTTATCTTCTTATCTACTTGTCAACATAGACTCTCAGACATTACCTATATTTGTTTACAATTTGGTTACTGGCTTTCTATCAGTGAGCCGGTGATGATTCTTGGTTTATATCAAGGTCGGTATATTATAAGGATTTTGATAGTGTTTTTAAGAGTTGAATAAGCACAAAGATAACTTTTAGCACAGAGGATCCTAGTTTACACGCACACACATATGTATGTAAAATACTAGTTGCATGATGTGTCTTTATGTTTTTCCTCGGTTAATTCAAGTGGAAGGCATGTGCGTAGAGTCTGGCCTTCTCGCTCATTTTTCTTTTTACCCAGAGTGATGGCACTTTATCAGGATAATTTAGATAAATGTCTTTTCATGGAGTTCACTTATCCTTCCAGCAAACATGATCGACAAAAAGCCACGAAAGACGAATGACATTGCATTTTGATCAAACGTGTGCTCTGTCAATGTAGGAGAATCTCAAGGTGGTCATGTTCCTTTTTTTTTTTTTCTTTTTTCCACCTAATTTGATCAACATTCCCAACAATGAAAACATCCACAAAATACAGTTCTGTGGAGATGACCAGGGCTTCTAAGAATGAAAAGTGAAAACCTGAAGCAAATGGATCTCAACTCACAAGTCAGCAGTAATCCAACGTGCCAGCCTGACAATTCTTATGTAGATTGATCAGAAATAAATGCGACAGACTGCGTGTCTCCTTTCCCAGCTTTGTCATGGCAAAAGGGCGCTACAGCCAAAAACAAGCTCTGCCTTTTTAGTCCATTTGAGTCCATCTCTTCTGCAGTGCTTGCTTGCCTTTCTTTGAACGTTTCATTTGGGGTCCAGCTGGAGTTATTACAGATAACAAGATAAGCCAAAATAATTGGTTAGTTAAGAAGGGTTCTTGAAACTAATTTTCCTCCCTACTCCATCTACCAATCCAATCCTTTTTTTGTTTTAACGTGAGGTTTCTTTGCATGACCCTTAAGTTTCATGATTACTGGCTTCTTAGAAGGTATGCTTGTGTCGGCACATGGAACACACACATCAGTGAGTTATCATATCAAGGACTGATTCCCCTGAGACCTTTCTTAATATTTAATATTTCAGGAGAAAGCTGATTAGGCAAGCACTCCTTTTTCCCTCCCAATCTGTAACTGATTAGGTGGTATTTAGACTTATGCAGGATGAAAGGGGACAGGCTCTCACTGAGGAGAGTGAGGAGTTTGAGGAAAGAGTGAAATTTCGTTTCTTCCTGGCATGCATGAAGTTCTGATTTGGCTTTTTCTAGATATGGACTTTCCTAAGTTTTAGTTTGCCTGAAATTTGACTTTCACTTTTAAACTGGACTAGTTCTTATCAATATTCATGATTCAAAAGTGTCCGTCTCCCTTGAGCAAAGAAAGTTCATGTTGATCATATGACTTTGCACAGAAGCAATCTCATGCGTGTGTTGAATGTGTGTGTGACAGATATTTTTGAGTATTGCTTGAAACAGTTCTTTTCACTTATCAATATGGAGTTTTATTCTTAAAATATTTTATTATCTTAATTCATTTCTACCTATGGCAAGGAATAATGTTGACTAATAAATAACTACAGTTTTTCCAACTATCGCTCCTCATATAAGTGTACGGTTTTAGAATTCAGTGTACCAGCACAATAAAATTTTAAAAATATATTTTATAGTTATTTTGAAAGAACTAGTGACTTGTTAAAAATGTCATTTTTAAATTTTAAATATAGCATTATATGCAAGAGGACTTGAGCTGAGGAAAAAAAATACATGCTTCTCTTCTGAAAAAAGTGGTACTTCTATAAGGTATTTCTGTGGATAACTAATATGTTCAAGTTATTTAAGAAAAACTTCATTAAAAAAGTTACAAGATACTGAAAGCAAATACGAACTCGTATTTGACAGCAAAACGTGTAAGATCCTTGATGTTGCCGTCCGATTACCTAGGTATGAATTGTAGCCTCGCTACTCATTAGCTGTGTCTTCTTTGGCACCTTCCATCACCTCTATGTTACTCAATTTCTTCTGCAAAATGAGAACAATAATTGTACCCATCTCATTGGGCTTTTGTAGGATTAAATCAGTATAGTCTCTAGCACATATTAAGCACACACACAAGTTGTATCTTATTAATAAAGGTAAGTTTTATTTTTTCCTGTGGATAAAAGATTTCACATTTCTACCAGACACTCTAAGGCTCCTTTTGCTAAAGAGAGAATAGCCATTTTACAGATAATATTTGTAGCATGCTGATGTTGGTGTTCCTAAAATGCATGAACCCTGTGATTAGCCTATGAGACTCCTGTAGGTCTAGAACAGGGCTGGTCAGCCCTGCATCCTCCTCAACCTTCGTGCAATGCTCTGCTCATAACGTGCCTGCATTTAATGTCTATTCAAGGAAGGATGTGCTCCACACCTAGTCCCCTTCCCCTAGAATCAGAAAATATCTAATAAATGTGACATCTACTGACATAAAATATGATTTTTTAAAAAGTCTATCATTGAAATTAAAAAATGGGGCTTCCCTTTACATAGTGCTCGTTGTGAACAAATTATCTGATTTTGTATGGTCCTAATTGTGGGTGTGTACATAAAAGAAACAAATTGAAGGTTACCTTAATACTACCTTATTATAGACACAAATTAATGGCAAAATGGAAAGCAATATTTTAGATATAAATTTTGGTTTTTAAATGTTTAATTGTTTGTTCCTTCTTTTTTTAAACTGGTAAATATGGGGCACTAAAAATGACTTCTGCCTTTCTTCATAGATTAATCTGCACAGTAATAAAAATTTTAGCATTTTGAAATTTTAAGGAGAAAATATTTAATAAGAATTTTAATGTATTTTGGCCATGATGGCTTTATTATCAAAATTCACCATTTTTCAAGTTTGATACTCATTTTGGAAGAGATTTTGACTTGCGTAATTGCAATGAAGCAATGACTATATTGCTGTTTGAACTTTCCCAGACATAAATGGAGAGTCCCTTTTCTTCATGAGAAAATTGGGTCTTTAAATGGGATCCTGGCAGGTGGAATAGCCCCTCTGAAGAGTAGGGTTACATGGGCAACTTAGATGAAATCTATGAGGTATTCTTTCTATGAAAGAGACCAAGAGAATGGGGGGGGAGAGAAAATGTGACTGAATGATTAAATGAACTTCAGAAGCATTTTCATCTGGGAGACAAAGTGTGAAAGGAGGAATAATAAATGACTCTCTGCCTTTCTAGAAAACGGTTGGTATCCATTGTCTATTCTGGAAGCCATCTGATAGCCCATGCCATCCACCAATGGGTATAGAAAAGTTTACATAAAAGAAAAGGGGTCAACTCAGTAGAGAGAAGAGGCTTAGCCAAAACAAACTGAAATGCTTCATTTCACTAAGGTTTGATTAATACGATATTAGACACCTAAGACCGCTGAGACAAGAGCTAACTAGCCTTTAGCAAACTGCGCTGTGAATCATACTTCACACATCAAGATGTGAGGTAATGAGATTCTCAAAAAGTACTACATTTAGAAACAACCCCTTAAACTCGAACACACAATTCCCAACTCCTGCCAGTTCCTGGCACACTTCCATGGGTGAAGTTGGAAAGGAAGCTCTGTGCTGTTTTTTTTAGGGGTGGTTTTTGTTTGTTTGTTCCTGACCACTGATAGCATGAGCTAGCAGCTGGTGTGAGAATAAAGGAAAATATGTGTGTATTGGCAGCAGACAATTTATAACATGGCGTGATTATTCTCTCAGAGTCTTAAACATCAGAGCTTATGGCTTAAAAAATAATAATTCTAATTCACAAGGACAACTTTACAACTGCACACTGAAGGATTTTTGCTGCTGTTGTGTGATGTAGGATTTTTTAAAATCTAAGGGGATGGACCCTTAAAGATTAGTGTGAATTTGTGACCAACATGGTTCGTAATTGATCAATCTTGAACATTTAAAATTTTCCTTAAGGATTTTTCAGCCATCACAGGCCATTTTTAGCCAGGGAGTCAGCTCTGTGTAAACCTACATCTCCACCTAGTGGTGGCAGGGAACAGCTAATTACTTTCTACTACAAGGAAACTGAGATTTAGTCACCCTTGGCAGGCAGCATGAAAGTCCTTGGTCGCTGTGCAGTTGAAGTACAATATTTAAAGATAACATTTTAATCTCAGAATATTCTTAAATCCTTTCCATTGCCCTCCATATTTTCCTTCTCCTCAATCCTGAAAGCTGACATTATTAGATTGCAAAATAGCTGAAAAATATTCCTCCCACTCTATTTTTCATTCTTGCACTGTGCTCAAAGACTTTGACCAAAAACTCATTTGGGTAGCAACGGATCATCTTTGAGGATCCCCCCACCCCGCTCTGCTTCTTATCCTTTGCCAGCTCACTTTTGGCAGGTGTCTCCACAGCAAGGAAGACCAAACAGAAGTTTCCGTATAGAGGTCTCAAGGCTCATTTTCAGTCAGCTAGAAAAACTACTTATAATGCTCCTGCAACCCGCAGGTTAATGAAGGGGCCACCTCTGCGCTCCACATCCCAGGTCGTCCCAAACAGAGAAGGCACATCAAGACTCATTCTCACGCAGCAGAGATTCTTAGCTCTTGGCACCCGGCTTTCCCATTAAGCCCTGACCCCTGTGCTAAAAAACAACCAGTTAAACCACACTAATATATCTAAGGCTTATATGATTTGAATAATCAATAAACAATTAAGACTGTTTTGCTCCTTTAATACCAAAAGGACATTTGAATTCGGTCACAGCTAAAAGGAAATAGTTTGTTTTGCTTTTAATTTGATTTGCAAGATTACAGAGCATCTGCTCCTCAGAGATGTCATTTCAGCCAATTATATAGATTGTCTTCTAGTCGCTTTCTCGCCACTGGATTCCGCATTGGTATCATACACACCAGTGAAATGGAGGAGCCAGGCTTTTTGGCTGGAATATGTCTGGAAAAATTAAAGCTAACTAAAAGAGTCATTGCTTGCTAATCCCTGTAATTAAGCACTACTTGTAGGAGGGTACATTACACTGATTGAGGCTGTTGCCACTGTATTGGTCCTAAAAATGTTTAATAACCCTACCCTGTAATGTTGAATTTTTCACACCGGTTAATTAACAGGCACTAACTTATATAGAAGGCAGAAAAAAAGTATAAATTGTCAGTTTGCTTCTACTCTAGCCTATCTTTTCTCTAAACCTAGTGTTCTGGAATGTGGTTGCTTAAATTGCAGGAAAGCTCCATATGTTAAAAAGTGGAGAAAGAAAGGTTAGAACAAGGGGATTCTTAGAGCATTTTAAATTTTCTCCATGTTTAGGGCAAAAGGTACACAATTCTTTAGCTCAGACGTTTAAATTCATCTGCTGTCATCATCTGCGTTGCCATTAGCACAGATCAATAGCACAGTGACTTTTTCTTATAACTCTCCACTTGTTTCTCAAAATACTGCACTGACCGTAGGTAGGAGAAACTTTGCTTGGTTTGACTGTTAACGAATTCTCAATATGATGTTCTTTAAGTAAAAGAGAACTGTAGTTTACCATCTTTTGGCCTGATTTTTATAAAATTACTTTGAAATAATCAACACAACCTCACTCCTTGAGCATCCTTTGACTTTTCCCAGGCTCAGACATCAGTGATAGTGACCTGAACAGGAAGCATTCCAACTGAGGACATTTCAACCTTCCACAAAAGGACCAGTTCAGAATGAAGCACCAAAGAATCAGACAGATTCTCAAGACTCTGTCACACTGAAAGAGATTGGTTTTAGGTAGAGTGGGCAAGAAAAATTCTTTTGTGTGTATGGGGGCTACAGCTGACCATAGGCTTCTTGGAGTCCAGTGGATGCTCTGAAGCACAGACAAGGCACAAAAGTCAGTCTCTCCTAGTTAAGCCTGTGAATTTGATGCCCTCCACTGAATGAGCCAGGATGATCTAGTGAAGTGGGACCATAGCAGAGTTTCCACTAGGGCTTACAGTAGAACATACACACGTACACACATACACACACCCAGGCACATACACATGCACACTGCCTTTTCAGTTCATCAGCCTAACTAACATTCAATGACTCCCTAAGTTAACCCAGTTGTATTTTAAAATCGTTAAGTAAGAGTTGTAAACGTCACTCCACGGGTAATTTATGAGCTTGGATGTGTGGGGTTGCTTTTGGTGTCTTACGACCACCTGCCTCTCTCCCCACACCTACTGATCTAAGGGGAGAGGATGTGAAAGTTTCCCTGCTATCAAATCAACCCATCTGCCAACACTGTTATTAGCAAGGAACATATGTGGGGCATTGCTAATAAGTTTTTAAACTCCAGATTAGGTCCATGGTAAAAAGTATTTCCGGTTTATTAATAGCTGACTATTCTGGCCCCTGAGATAATAGTTACACTGCCTCTTCTGCTGTCACAAGGTGTCACTGTTAGGCAGGGACCTAGTAGAGCCTGGTGGGTACTTGTGCATTGTGGGGTAGATGCCTGCCATGGCCCACATCCCCGCCGGTTCTGTGGCAATGGCTTATGCTGGGATCCAAGGGCAGAATTCTGTTGGTACCCACTGGATGCTCAGCTCCCCCAAGCCCAAGGCTATCATGAGTCAAGAGCAAAAGGGCTTCCAAGCTCAGGGCCCCCACTGAGGAGGTCTTGGGTTCATGTTATCAGCACTGAACTTTCTCTAAACATTTCAGGGAACATAAATTTCCCACTTTGAACTACACTTACCAGGGGGATGGATCCCTTCTCTGCAGAACCCCCATATATCAAGGGCTCTTACAAAAAGTTCAGGCTTCAGTGAGCCAAAAAGCTTCTACCTTCCCCTAAGGCAGGGAATCCAATCTTCTTCATTTATAGAACAAAGAAGAGATTATTCCCCTATACAAAAAAGAAAATCCGCTCCCTGACTGGCATGAGTTTTTAAAATTCTATACCTTCTACTTTCTGTGTCAAGTATTGTGAACCTATGGTGAAATGCTCCAGTTCTTTTTTTTTTAGACGGAGTCTTGCTCTGCTGCCCAGGCTGGAGTGCAGTGACACAATTTCAGCTCACTGCAAGCTCCACCTCCCGGGTTCATGTCTTCCTCCTGCCTCAGCCTCCCGACTAGCTGGGACTATAGGTGCCTGCTACCACGCCCGGCTAATTTTTTTGTATTTTTTTGGAGAGACGGGGTTTCAACGTGTTAGCAAGGATGATCTCGATCTCCTGACCTCATGATCCGCCCACCTCGGCCTCCCAAAGTGCTGGGATTATAGCACACCTGGCCAAATGCTCCACTTCATTAATATAGATTATATTCTTCTCTGTGAATAGTAACTGAAACTTCATTCTCTGACTCCTAAGCAATAGCTTGGTGAAACTTATTTTGTAATGAACATAAGACCCAAACAGCAAGGCTCAGCCTGTCACATCACCCAAAAGCTGGCCTTCAGCAGGAGCTAGGTGGCTTCCCTGTTCCAGCAGTGGAAAGTTCTAGTCTAGAAAGGAGCTGCCAGCTATGGAAGTCCAAAACTGGGGGAGAGGGATTCCAACAAAACCCTACACCAAGGAGAAAGCCCTATGTGGATGGAAGGACCCACCACACACTTGATAGGTATTTTCCCCTATCATTTGCTTCATTTTTTTTTTTGAGATGGAGTCTTGCTCTGTTGCCCAGGCTGGAGTGCAGTGGCATGATCTTGGCTCACTGTAACATCCGCCCCCCGGGTTCAAGCAACTCTCCTGCCTCAGCTTCCCAAATAGCTGAGATTATAGGCACTCGGCATCATGCCTGGCTAATTTTTGTATTTTTAATAGAGACAGGGTTTTCCATGTTGGCCAGGCTGGTCTCGAACTCCTGACCTCAAGTGATCCACCCGCTTCGGTGCTTTGCTTTTATTTGTTTGTTATGTTGCTCCTTTTTTGTGTGTAAGGAAATTTAGTACCTCAATGAAGGAATATAAAATGGAAACCAAAAGAATTCAGTAACTTACTGACAACTTTCAAAATACAAAAATAACTCCAGAAGTGCAACAGGGTTCCCACATCACAGCAAGAAACCCAAACCGGAAGCTCCACAAAATATAACACAAGAAAAAATTAAGGAATTTGTGGAAATCAAAGGGAAGAGACTGAATCTATTTCCAGTGCTAAGGCATTCCAGGGAGCAGGCAACACACTGCACACACACACACACACACACACACACACACACACAAACCTATCAAAAGTATACAAAAAACTGTCCACTTCATAAAGTCAGAGATTTGCTCCTGAGCATGGCAGGGCGGGAGGTGGGTAGCCTAGGGTTTTCTGATGTCAAATGTCTTTCTTGTGAGGATAGGCTCTAAACAGAGTGAATTTTCCATTTGCTATACATGAAGCTACTAGAGCTCCGTGGAGTGGTTTAGAAAAATTAAACTGGATAGTCACTTTTTTCTCTTCATTCTCTAAGTAGTCCTTCAGTCCCCTACAGAATTTAAAGCTGTAATATGTTTGGAAGTACTGGATCGGTAGAATGGGAGAGAAGTCCAAATTTTGTGATCCCTATCTAAGGCAAACTGTATGAGCAAACACTTAGCTTACAGCTTTGGCCACTTTCTCCAGCTCCCTCAGAGAAATGCAAGATGCCAAGAGTACTTCATAAGTAGTTTTCTAGTGATCATCTTGAAATCCCAGTACCTAAATGATGATGGATATTATTAAGCTTTGGGAAATACCATTACCAGTCCCAAATTGAATCACAAAGTCTTGAAGTATGACATGGGAAGAACCCAATACACACCTAAATATTGGACTAAATTTTGTAGTTTTCTGCTCATGGTTGTTCTAGAAAAACAAACAAACTACAGTGTGAGGAGTTTGAAGCAGTGGTAGCCTCTCAACCTTAATGCCTTAATACCTTGTGGTTGTTTATAACAAGTATCAACACATACACTATTTTTCTATCTCCTGGTCTACATTTTGATTGGTTAAGAGCAACAATTACTGCTTTTCTTGGTATCTCTAAGGGTTACTGCAATGTGTGTCTTGGTAGATGCTGGGTGAATATATGTTGAGTTAATTGTTCTTAAAAATAAGATACAACAGGAGTGGATCTTATTAACTCTTGAAATGTGCTGCTTTATTCTGTCATTTATTATATGAGAGAGAGAGAGAGAGAGAGAGAGAGTTGAGTATTGTAAGTCTCTTTATTGCTCTTCTAAAAATTGAACAGGATAATTTAAATGGACTATGGACTAAAGAGAGATTAGAATGAATAAATTCTCAAAATCTAAGAATTATTCAATCACTTCTCACATAAACTTATATCAACAAGACTAATATTATTTGAATCAATAGTACTGGAATTCCAAAAAATGATTGCTTAAAATAATGTTAAGGCTCATGCTAAAATTTCTTCATAACAATAACTCAACAAACATTATCAACCTAAACCATCATTTAAAGCACTTCCAAATATTAACATATCCATACGTCCTCATGAAAGCAGAATATCCCAGAGTACACTAACTCACTGATGAGTCATCTGAAAGGGCATTCGTATAGATACTTTTGTTTCTGTCCTCTCTCAAGTTGAAAATCATAATAAAATTATAATGGCTTTGAAGTTGCAATTTTATTATTTTCTGTTTATGTTTTGTATTATTTTCAGATTTCCCTCTTCACTCTCCAAGGCCCCAAACTTCTCCCATGAATTTTTCTCTGGCACATTTGTAAATACAAAGTTACAGAGAGAAGGGCTCAGCCATGGCATGTCTTTTTGCCATCTTCTTCTTTATAGCCTTCTGCCTTTTACCCCCAAATTTTCAAATCGAAATGAAGAAATGTAAGCTGCAATACTCTACAAGAATCCCTTCTGTCTTCACCTCATAGTTTTCACAAATATTCCAGAGTTTGTGGGAAGGGGGAGAAACAGGGCACTTCATGGGGTGGACACATTGGAAAGGTGGGCTAAGCTCTAGAGGCATGGGGTGCAGTGGTTAAGATCACTTTTCAGCACCATCGCAGCTCATCTCCTAGATTTCTTGTTTTTAGAGTGGAAACAAACATTGTACTTGCTATCCAACTGCTGTGAATTAAATGATATTTATGGAGCACCTGGTTCAGCCTCACCGAGCTGGCGATGCTGGCTAAGAAGACAATCAGTTCTGTGGTCCTGGATGACTTAGGATGCCTCAGTTGCCACATACTTTTAGACATCCTCCTATTCCCTCTCATTCTCATTCTTATTCTCTCCCTCCCCTCCCCTCCCCTCCCTTCCCTAACCCCTTCCTTCCCCTAGCACCTGTCTCCCTCTCTTTTCTTATGCCATTTCTTTTCCATCTTTGTTGTTTTTCTCCTATATCTCAACTTCTAATTCAATGTAAAAGGAATGTCGCTATGTTTGTGCAGTGAGTTGAACCTAAACATTTTATCTGTCTAAACCTCTAAATATGAGCAGACAGAGCCCCAAGAAACATAGAAGTAAAGCACATATTGCAGTTGCTTATAGAGAAATGCTCCTTCTCAGGTGTCTTCCTTGAAAGCAGCAAATATCTTTATGGATATTAATATTAAAGCAAATGCCTTTATGAATATTGATCTTGCAGACCTACTCTTACTATGTTCTAGGCACTGTTCTAGGAGCAGCGTCATTTCATCATACAAGACCAAGCTGTGATGACTGTGCCTCCGGTACTCCTCACATTGACCCTGCAAGATGAGCGTCATCCCAAGAGGAGGAAACTGAATGAGCAAAATCAAGGCTCATACAGACTCACCAATGTAACCCAAGACAGAACAGAGCATAAAATTAGGTCTGTTTGACTCCAAGATCACATTTTCCCATTAAGTCTTTGAAAGATAAAATTCATATCTCAAGAAAAATGGTCTGAGTGACCTTCTAGACACCTGAGTAGAGATTTCTTTTCCTAAATCTAGCCACATTCTAGTGTGGTAGCATGAATTTGACATCCTGACCTTAACGGTGTGGAACAATCTTTTCACCCTAAATTCACAAGCTGTAACTGGAAGAGCTAAGTGTGGCTGACTACAAAGTGTTCTTAACCCTGGCAGACTCTTATATCTGCTTGCATCCATATCCCATACTCAAAAGTGCCAGGACCCAGCAGGGAATACTAGGACCCAGTTTGCATGGCCTTTTTTCCACTGTGCCTTTCCTGAACTGCTTCTTCTCTTAGGTCAGCCAAACTCTGCTACAATCTTCTCCTCCAGTCACTCTTCTTTCATAAATTTCATTCTTCAAGTCATAATACTATAATACTTTTCTTCCTTAATTATGTCTTGGAAACACAATGCTGAGGCTTGCTGTATGTTGAGACTATAATTCATTAGCACAGAATGATTGTGGGAACATGTCCTCACTTCTCATCAGCAATTGGAATGTGGATTCTCTTGCTGTTTAGTTTTCCACAATCTTTATGAAACAAAATGCAATATTCGTTTCTAAGGCTTTCCTGAGCAACTGTCTTCTAATGGGAAAACTTTAACAAAAAAGTATGTATCGCATGCCAAATAGCTAACCTCACTCTCATAAATATTTAGATTTTAGACAGAGTTGAAACATCATTTGTAAGACGGATGTGCTTCTTTGGCGTTCCAACAAGAAAATGTCTTGGGAGCTGAGCCCGTTTTTACAGCTAATGGGCCCAAAACCCTTGGTCATGTACTAGGGATTGGGTGGGGCAGGGGTGGGGAGGGTGGCAAAGAAAATCACTGTGTTCTAGAAAGAGGTCATCTCAGAAGAACTTCTCCAATATCATCTTTCCACTAAAGTCAAGATGAAACAGAAGAATAAATGTTTGGGAATGTGGTTTGGAAGGATCTCACGCTGCTGTTTTGAAGTGGTGCGTCCCTCAGAGAGGTTGGTTAGCATGGTGTAGTGACTGGCTCTCAGCGTGTGGCCTTCATGCCAGAAGCATCATCTGCTGGGAACTTGTTAGAAGTGCAGATTCTTAGGCTCTGCCACAGACCTGCAGAGTCAGAAGCTCAAGTCGGGGGAGAAAAGAGTGTTCTGTGTTCTAACAAGCCTTCCAATTGGCTCTGATGCACACTAGATTTTGAGAAACATAGTGGCTTATAGCCCTGGTATTAGAAAAACCTGTGTTTGAATCTTTCACCCTTATCCCTCCTCAACCCCCATACTACCCAGCTGACCCTTGGTGAGTGATATAATCATCTCATTCTCCTTATCTATGAAAAAAAGGATAATAGTACTTATTTCATAGGCTTGTTGTAAGAATGCATCGAGAAAAACATATATAAATTGTTTGCTCCAGTGCATAAAATAAGCAAACAGTGCAGTACATAATATGTATTATTATAAATAAATGGATATAGTTTAATTAAATAACCTAGATATAGACTATAAATGCATGAGGAAAAAAGGTAACATTTTTAAACAATGCATTTATAAAAGTCAAGACGACTTTGATTAAATTTGGATGATTAAAAGTAATCGTATGTGAAAATCATTTTTTTCCTCTCCTGTCAAAGAAAGATGAACTTTTTGAGGGTGTGCCACATGTCAGGGGCACCTTTTGAGCATTACTGTAAATTCCCTGGGCCCCTCCTTTTGCTCTGTCTGCTGTAGCAGAGACTACTTCTGAGCAAACGTTTGTCAGTTCTGCCAGGTGCAATGCTCAGCACCCAGACCTTGCACCAGGGCTACCTCTCTACCCCTTGTTTTCTGCTCTATGGTTTCTCTGACTTTATGGCCACAGAAGGCCTGAGAAGCTACTCAACATTCACCATTGTACAATTGGAAGTGCAGGAGAATTCATGACTGTGAAGCTACTAGAAATGGATGGGAGACAGGAGTCAGCAGGTTTCTCTCTTCATCCACTAGATGGATGGTTCTGACACACATTTCAAAACACCCTTGGGGAGATCAAGTGCCAATTCAGTGAGACACCTTCGGATTTGTTTTCTTTGCCTCCGTGCTGCAACCCCCACCCATCTTGCCCTCTACTCTTGCTCTCTGGGCTCACTTCCAAAGTAAGCCACCTACATCCAAAAGCTAGTCTCAGCCTCCATTAGAGAACCTAGGCTAAGTCAGCCAACTTCAGAAAAAAGGAATAATAACATAAAAGTTGATTTTTTTCAAAAATGTTCCTCAATAATTCTGGATGTAGACCCAAGATCCTTAAGCTGAGGTCAATGCATGCATTTCATATGGTTCCATAAAGCAACTGAAAATGTATCCAAATTTTGTGTATGTACATTTTTCTATATAGTATCTTCAGTAGTATTCAATGGGGTCTATGATTAAATAAAATTAAATTTTCTGTTCATGTCGGTGACTGGATAAATTACAGTACATTTGAAGGACTCGATTCTTTTGGAAGATTCATATTTCAAAATATTAAAGATTATTTGAAATGGATGAGATATCAATGAGGTCTTGTTTTCTGTTTAATTGTTTTGCTACGAGGATGAGACCACTCATTCTGTTACTTTTATGTCCAAATCTCAAGGTTTTGTTTGGGCCAACACAGATCTAGGTCTCAGATTTAGCCTCTGCCCATCTCCAACTTCATGTTCTTTCACCCTTGTTGATTTTGTATTACTTTGCTATTAATGCTTGTATTAGTCCATTTTGATGCTGCTTATAAAGACATATTCAAGACTGGGCAATTTACAAAAGAAAGAGGTTTAACTGGACTTACAGTTCCATGTGGCTGGGGAAGCCTCACAATCATAGTGGAAGGCAGGGAGAAGCAAGTCACATCTTACACGGATGGCAGCAGGCAAAGAGAGAGCTTGTACAGGGGAACTCCTCTTTTTAAAACCATCAGATCTCATTAGACTTATTCACTATCATGAGAACAGCATAGGAAAGACTTGCCTCCATGATTCAATTACCTCCCACCAGGTCCCTCCCACAACACATGGGAATTCAAAATGAGATTTTGGTGGAGACACAGACAAACCGTGTCAATGCTATAACAAATTACTGCAAACCTATGGCTTAAAACAGTACAAATGAGTCCTCATACAGTTCTAGAGGGTAAAAGTCTGAAATGTGTCTCCCTGGGCTAACATCAAGGTGATAGTTGGGTTGCATTCCTCTGAAGGCTCTGAGAAGAGAATCGATTTCTTTGCCCTGTTCAGCTCTTATAGTCCACCTGTATTCCTTGTTTTGTGGCCTTTTCCAGTCCTCACAGTAGCCGCTTGCTTGTGTCATCACTATTTACATTGACTCCTACTTCCCTCTTACAAGGACTCATGTGATTACATCGGGCCCATCTGGAAATCCAGGAAAATCTCGCCATCTCAAGATCCTTAGCTTAACCACATCTGCAAAGTCCCTTTTGCCATGTAGACCTTGCATATTCACAGGAGGTCAGGATGTGGCTATCTTTGCAGAGCCATTATTCAGCAACCACAGTGTTCTTTGACCACGCCAAGAGCACTCCACCACAGGAGATCTGAACATGCTGTTCTGTCTCCTTGGCCTGTTCTCCCTCTTGTTATTTGCATGGCCAACACCCCTCTTCATTCAACTGTCTGCTCAAATCTGACTTTCTCAGAGAACCACACCCCCCACCATGCTATCCCTTACCTTGTGATACTCCCCATCACTCACTATGCCCTTTCTCAGCTTTAGTTTCACTTAAAACAATTATATTAAGAAACAAGATGTTACATATACCTTTGCTGTTTTTTAAGAAGCCTGTGGTCTAGTAGGAAAGACACAAAAGTAGTTCAAAAAGGCAATGCAATATACAATATGGCAAAAAAGAATAAAGAGTGTTCTAGCTAAGGAAGGCCTGAGGAGGAAGACACTCACCAATTCTAGGGAAGGTAAGAAAGGTTTTGCAAGATTTTCTGTGAAAAAATCTCACCTGTTTGAATGGAGCAGAAGGGGTAAAACAATGCCCTGAGTCATGGTGGTACCTCTGAGCATGGCTGGAATGTTAACGTAGACCAGCTTCCCATGTGCTCATGGCAGCAACTGTGATATTGAAGGCCATGGCAACTTATTAGGGACTGAGTCCTATACTGTATTTGTCTCCTGCTCCCAGGAATTCCTGATCTAGAATGTTGGCTGCAGAAGGGATGGGTTCCCTCCCCTGCATTTTCCCAACAGCATTTCTTTTCAATGTATCCAGGTGCATCATTTAGTCTTACAGAGCTGCACTTAGAAATGTAGAAGCTGCTTTAAATTCAGGAAATATCAGAGATAGAGAGACACTTCTCTAAGGAGGCCTGTTTATATAACAGTCAGCAGAGATCAAGGAAAGTCTTTCTGGAGCTGCACCTGAGACCTGAGGTTTACCCCAAATATAGCCACTAGCAAGCCCATCTAACAGTTCCTAGTTAGTAGCTTTGTGTCTGCAAGTGTGGATCTTCAAAATCCTACCTCTGACTATTGCACTGCTAAGAGAGAGAAAGCACTGGAGAAAAGGCAAACTATGCAGAGATCTGCACTGGAAAAAATAAAATTTCATGGTGGCAAGTTCAAATAATGGAAATAAGGCACATTGCAGAAGCGCATATCACTGGAATCTGATTAGCAGAGTTTGAGCACTGGCTCCACCATTAATGAGCAGTTCACTACCTCATCTGAGACTCAGTTGCCTCATCTATGAAATGTGGATAATGATACCATTTGCTTTAAGTAGATTGAGGATAAAATGAGATCACCTGCATGAAGCACAAAGTAGCTGGCATATACTAAGTATTTAATAAGCTTTAGCTATTTCTATCATTTGTTTTTTATCATAAATATTTAGATACTAATCTTGGCACTGGCATTTGCTCTTCGATGTGGAGGTAGTCATATAAACCCTCTTTGCTCTGGTATTTTTCTTTTTAATTTCACAGATGAAGGTGAATTGCAGTGCAGACTGCTTTGTCTTTGTTGAAATGGTGAGGTGAGGGTACCTTCCCAACAGTAAGCTCTTTTGATCTTACCTCCCTAGAGGATCCAGAAGGCACTGCCTGGGCAAGGATGGAGGCAACCATGTGGTGATTCCTCAAGTCCTGTAGGACCAAAGACCACTTCACAAAGTCCAGTTTTCTCAAACATTCTTTCCAAGACAGGAATGTGATACTTGCTCAAGAAAGGGTGTTTGGTAACTTTTAAAATACACAATTCGCTTTTCATCGGAACCTAGGCATTTTCACGCCAGGTGCTGCTTATCTTCTGGAGTATTTCTATTTTGAAAGGTAAGACTTTGGATGAGGAGAAAAACATTTGGAGCCAGATGCTATCTTTGAAATTCAATTCCAAGTGCAGCTGCAATATTGTACCTGTCCAAAGCCACAAGTCTGCCCTTTTGGACAGACTTTGGGAATGCATTTCCCTATGAAAGGAGTTAACTGGTATGAGTAGTAATTAGCGATTTTAGTAACAGAATTCTATATATTCCTCCCCCTTTATAGTTTCTTGACTAAAGGGGAAAACGACAATGCCTTATATTTAAAATTACAAGAAAGGTGTCAGATCACTGTACCCATCAGATTTTAAACAAGGGCCTGGTGAATTAAGACGATGGCTCTTATAAATCAAACTCATTAGCTTTCAAACTTGGCCTTCATAAACCATAAAAAGCAAAATACAGCCGGGGGTAGGGGGAAGTGAATTACCACAAATAAGTCATTCCATTCTACCTCTGAAACTGAAACACATCTCTTCATTTCAGGTCAATTTATTCACGAAAGGAGAGAATCTTTGTACCTTCCCCGGTTGTCTTTATTTTTTAGGACAGCCATTATATACCCACAGAACCCCACCTGCATAGTTACTGCATATTTACAGCATGAAAAAGCAATTGTCCCCACTCGGTGCTCCTCCCAACAACTTGATTTTACTCTTTCTCATGTGGAAGGTGGTACCTGCAATGTTTTATTTAATGATGTTATCCTTGTGATTTTGTTTCAGCAATTAATTCAAATGTATACTCTGTGGAGCTGTCATTTGACATGGGTAGCCGCTGATGCTTCTTTTTGTGCCTACACCAAATGGCTTTCCAAATAATTTCAGTTCCTTTAAAATTAATGGAAGATTCTACCTAAACAAATAATCAAATAAAAAAATAAACAAATTTTCTAAAATTTCCCCACTGAATTATACGATGCCTTCTTGCTATGACAACTACTGTTCCTTAACCCTCCAAGATAAAATGCGGCTGTGGTGGTGTTTTTATTCTTATCCATTATTTATACAGGGCATGGGTGTAGGTGCAGCTCTGTAGTGGATGTGTCCATGCAACAGACAGAACAAAGCAAGAATTTTCCTTTGGGGGTTTACAATATAAATGCACACAAGGACACATGAGACAATGAACAGTGATAAAACACAATGCAATGCGAGCAATTTTGAGAAATGAGTGGTTATTGTAACGGAGATGCTTTGCGGAACAGATGGTTTTTAAGGAGGTTTGTGATGAAAGAAGTTGAGCAGGTTTGCTGTACATTAATAGGAGGTTGCTGTGGGATTCTGAGAAAAAGAGAAAAATGCAGCAACTGGGGGAAAACTTTTTTCTCTTCACAGTCTAGATGAGTTTCCTTTGCTTCTCTACTATCAATATTTCAAACTTAGAGAGAGGGCACTCAGTCAGTGAACATATTTATTCCAAATAAAATGGGAAGTGAACAAACAATGGTCAGGGGTGGTAGAAGGACGTGGCACTGAGTACTGGGATTACACAAACCTGGGGTCAAATTTGGGCTCAGCTGGGAGTTGTTGGGTAAGTAACTTCGCAAACTTCAGTATGCTGATCTTTAGAATTATTATTACAATTCCATAAACTCTTGGAGCCAGATGTATTTTGGAATTCAAAATAACTCAGAATTTACACAAGTAATATGATATGTACACTACACATGTCATATCTCCCTGGTGATGTCTACAGTAATAAATAACAGAAATGATTTTGTAGCAAAATATCCAAAGCAGGTGCAATAAAGAAAGACTCTAAGTAGCCTCACGTCTGTTCCATCTAGATTTTTCTGTTGGATGAATTGATGTTAAATTTTTGTGGATTGGGTGTCACATCACATCTTTCTTTAAGGAAGGGGGAAGCCCAGCACAGCAGCGTGGGATAGAAGAGTAGTTCTTAGTAGTAAACACAAAGCAAGCAGTAGCTAAAACACCAATCTTGATGTTATTATTTCATCTGATTCTCCACCAAGTCAAGCTGATCTTACCTCTGCCCTCCTCTCATCTACAGCACCACCATTCCAGTCCAGGTTACCAACTTTCCTTGTGGACAACCCACAGCATTCATCTACCTAGTCCACAACACGTCGGCTCCTCTGAGAAGCAGGGTCTCCATAAACCGTTCTCCACACCAGAGCCCATATGATTGCCTCAAAACGCAAATCAGATTCTGCCATATCCCTGCTGAAATTCTTTAAAGTTATCCCGTTATTCCCAGAGAACCAGGTCCACATGCCCAGACCTTACTCTGGCAGCCTTCATCTACCTTGATCTATTTCTTTAAACTCATTCTGCTGTCACAAACCTTTGCATTTGCTATTCCCTCTGCCTAGAATGCTGTTCCTCTCCTCTCAGTTTCTTTCTCTCATTCTTGGGATAGGGCTTCAAAGGTTCCTCTGTGTTGCTCTCATCTGGCAGTTGTGATACTTGCACTGAGCCTTGCACTATGATACTTGCACTATGAGCCTCCTTAGAATCTAGATTGTGATTTAATCTATATTGTGATTGTAAGATTGTGATTGTATGTATTTCTGTGGTTACAATTGGAAGTCAGAGGTTGTACCTATTTTGCTCACTCTTGGATCACAGCACCCAGTATATGGATTGGCACATAGTATGATCACTTCATGTGTATTTATTACATTCATGAAAAACTAAATGAATGTGAAAAGTACTTGTTACCAGCCAAACCGAAGGCTTGGTAACTAATACACACTCTTTTAGTCCTTTTTAAAATTTAAAAAACAATCTCTTATAAGGCTAACTTCAACCCTGTCAGGTATGTGCTATTTTGTAGATGCAATAGCCAAGTCTGAGAAAAGTCAAGTAAATTGCAAAACATCTCAGTCCAAGTAAAGTGTCAGTTCAGGGCTGGGGCAAAGGCCTGTATGGATCTAAAACCTGTGAGCCTTCGCTTCCACCACACTGTCAAGGAGAAACATGTCAGGGGTGTGGTGGGAACAGGAAATGGACCTGTGTAGATGCAGTCTAAAATAATGCTGCTGAAGAATTTAGCTTTCAAATGGAAGTGATGAGCTGGTTCAAGGTGCTGGAGTGGTGGGAAGCCTGAAGGAATTACTTATAATGAAAGTGATCCATGTCCAGGTAATAGAGCTTAGAAGAAGAAATTCTGGCCGGGCACAGTGGCCCATGTCTGTAATCCCAGCACTTTGGGAGGCCAAGGTGGGCAGAGAGCTTGAGCCCAGGAGTTCAAGACCAGCCTGGGGAACATGGAAAGACCCCATCTCTACAAAAAATAGAGAAAGTTAGCCAGCATGGTGATGTATGCTTGTAGTCTCAGCTACTCAGGAGGCTGAAGTAGGAGGGTGGCTTGAGCCTGGGAGGTTGAGGCTGCAGTGAGCTGTGATTACACCATTGCACTACAGCCTGGGCAACAGAGTGAGACCCTGTCTCAAATTACAAAAAAAATTCTGCTTGGCCTCCTGCACTCAAGGCCAGTTTTATCATCTGCTCTCTGGAGAAGTCAAGCATAGCCACAGGGGACAGGCCTATGGAGCAGCCTCCAAACAGCAGAAGAGAAGACACAAATCTCTTCTTGGGGTAACTGTCTTGTCAGCAAAAAACCCCTCCCACTCATGTACAAAGTCTATCGTTGTCCTTAGGGTAAGCATGGGTACATGCTCAGCTTGTCTTTTAGCCCTAAATCAAATTCAAACCTTTATTATTTAGGAAGCCACCTACTCTGAGTGAGGTATTATATTAAGTTCTTTACTCATGTGAGTTCAATGAATATTTAAATTTTGAATAAAGGTAATGGCTAATGATAGTCAATTATACCTAGTAGAGGCATCATTATAATTATTGATTTTCATACCAAATTTTTGAATGCCATACCTTTTCTTATAATGATAGATCAAAAAGTTAGAAATATAGAAATATATACGGGACCTATAAATCAAAAAAAACTTTCAAGAAATAATTTTAAATAATTATCAGAATTCTGTGGAGAAATAACATATATTTTATATATTTAAAGAAAAAGCAAGCAATAAAAGTTTACCTCTTTTGCTATGCACTTGTAATCATTGAATGTCATTCTACAACATCGATACTTCTTTAAGGAGACTTTGTGATGAGAATAGGTTTTGGTGCATAAGGATAAATCCTAGGGTTAAGGAATGTGTCAGATGGTTATAATTTGTCCAAAGATATGAACACAACAGGAGACATGAACATGGAGACATGTTTCAGAAAGAAGTGCTGGAAAAAATAAGGCAAGTTCCATCTGTTTCTAATGGTCACTGTGGGCTGAACAAATACGTCAGATTAACTCTAAAAACCCTGAGCTATTGACATTATGAAGAAAGTTGGATCTGAATTAAGAAAATATATTCTGAAATGTTTTTTTTTTAAATTAAATGGTGACTCTGCACAGGCTTTACTCCTGTGCAGTTTGTGGTTTGGGTCCTGGCCCCTAGATGAGCTGGTTTCCTCTCATCTCAGAGCTGCAGCCCTCTCCATTATAAAACAAGGATAGCAGGGCTATTGCCAGAATGAATGAGCTCATACCTCACATAAGAGGCACTAACTAAAGCAACAGAATCACTCCTTCACACAATTTTTCATAGCTTTATACATTAGGTAATTGGGGAACTTTCCAAATAAAAATAAATTCTGTCAGTGAATAAACTTAGATTCTGTGCAAGATACTGTGTGAATGACAGCAATCCTAAAGATCAACTGACCATGACCTTTTTCATCAGGACTTTGTAGCCATGACCCCCACCTCACCCCCTATTCTTACAGTTAAATTAAAATCGCTATGCCATTCTACATTGGCCTGATTCCCTGGTCCCAGCTGATCGATCCAGAGATAGGTAATTTTGTTAAACTGGGCCAATGAGAACCTTCCCCTGAATTTGCGGACATGGAACTGGGCAGTAAAATTGAAGTCTTTCCCCCAGGGACCAGAATAATAAAATATAAAGCCGAGGAGTTAAAGAGAGCCAAGATCCAGCCACCTGGGGTGCTTCTGTAATGATGCTGCTGGGCAGAGAGAAATTCTGATAGGTCGAGTGCCTGTCATTTGCAGCCACAGCAGCCCTAAAATCGCTGGCAAATGGTGGTCCCTGGGAAATCATTCTTGGTTGAATAATAAATGAATTAATGATGAATAATGTGATTTTTAGGAAGGAAGGGCAGTGTGTAGCCTGAAGTACAATTCTCATACCTTTGTCTCTTGCTGTTTGTATAAAACAGTAAATAAAGCTTCAAAGAGACTAAACACTTATTTTGAGAAACATCAGGGAATATGGATGATACCTTGTGGTGAGAAATGAACATACCAGATAATAGATAAAATATTATTAAATTCTTCTAGTCTAAACTTAAATTGGTTAATTTTATAGGTGAACCATGGCAGAACTTATTCTTTTTTTTTTTTTTTTTTTTTTTTTTTTTTTTTTTTTTTTGAGACAGAGTCTGGCTCTGTCGCCCAGGCTGGAGTGCAGTGGCGCAATCTTGGCTCACTGCAAGCTCCGCCTTCCGGGTTCACGCCAATCTCCTGCCTCAGCCTCCCGAGTAGCTGGGACTACAGGCGCCTGCCACCATGCCCGGCTAATTTTTTGTATTTGTTTTCATAGAGACGGGGTTTCACCATTTTAGCCAGGATGGTCTCGATCTCCTGACCTCGTGATCTGCTGGTTTCGGCCTCCCAAAGTGCTGAGATTACAGGCATGAGCCACTGCGCCCCGCCCGGCAGCACTTTTTCTTTAACTATTTATCTTTCCTAATCTAATGATTGACAATTTTTTACAAAATAATTTATATCCACTAAGTCATAACTAAAGCTGCACATGTAGGAAGATATTGTCATACATAATATATTTATGGAAAATAATAAGTGTGGTACTCCTGGTAGCATGCTCCCTAATGCTATGTAATTTAGAAGTGATATAGGGCCTATTTATAGGGGTAAGTACAACAAAATAATTCTAAGTTGTGTATCTAGAATTAAAAGCAAAACACATAATCTAGGGAAGGTTAATTACATCAGTATATAGCTACAGATGAAAGGGAGTATAGTTATTAAAGTAAAACATCGAGGGAGGTTTTGTGGTGGTAAAAGATTATATATCCATACCATTAGTTGCTGAAATCCATTATACTCTTCAACTATAACAATAACCACTGTAATAATAAGTGGCACTTAAATAGCACTTTTCAAATTCAACATTGTGGTACTTTGCATTTATGTAGGCATTCACAGTTAACAGAACACTTCCTTATGAATTAGCTCTTTGGAAATGCACTAGAGGACCCGCCAGGAAGGCTGGACAGAGATGATCCTGTCAACCTAGGAGATAAGGAAAACACTGCTCAGAAAGACCAGACACCAAAGCCCTCACTATTGTATGTAGCAGAGACAGGCCCTTACTCAGCTTTCTTGGCAGTTCACATTCCACTTGGGACCATGAGACTGATGTTGTGTCATTCCATATGGGATGTATGTGGCTGTTTGCAGATTGGATGATTGAGCTGTAGGTACTTGAAAACACTTTTAAGATTTGATGCCTCTTTTACAATCTTTCAAAGTCAAACATTAGTTCTAGTAACTATTTTGAGTATATCTTAGATTAATACTGCAGTTTACAGTTGACAAAGTGCTTTCACATATATGAGGTCATTTGAATCTCACAAATTCATCAGCAGACACAAGATACAATCATCATATTCCAATTTTAGTATTTAAAAAATCCACAACCAGCTAGGTGGACAGATCCCTCAAGTTTTCTAAAGCTAGGAATGGCAGAGGGGAAGGGCTGACAAGGTTTTCTCATACAAACCAACTGTGGACACAAGGGATCTTCACCTTCCACATCATTCTAAAAAGAGGCCATTAGCCATGCAAATGTCATTTTACTTATAAAAATATTATCAGATGCCAGCCATGGGCTAGGATACAGTGTTAGCTAATGTTAACATTGCAGAAGTAATTCTCAAAGTCAAATTTCTAACTCTGAAGCTCCTTTCTTCGATTCTAAAAATGAAGAGATAGTGACATCGGAGTGACTAAATGCATAGGTTTGGGTATCAGTCTGACTTAGATTTAAATTCTCCCTCTGACCTGCTCCATGACCTTGCACTGGAGGTCAAGGTTAACTTTGCTTCTCTGAGCTTTAGTTTACTCATTTTAAATGTTGGATAGACAATCTCCATTAATAGACTTGTGTATTTCAGGAGACAAATGTGGAAATAAAGGAAGACTATCCAAATGAGATCAAGCAAATGCTATTTATCCAGAGATTGTCATAGCAAGGGAGCTGACCACCAGCACTTGAGTTTGACAGAGACCCAAAGGCAGCCAGAGGGCTGGGAAAGCTTCGTGGTAGAAAGCAGGGAAGAGGCTGTTGGTGTGGGGGAGCTGGAGGAGGCTAACTAGAAGCCTGGACTCCTATGTGATGCTTAGGGGGGCATGTTTGGGTTTCTCTAGCTGGTCCTAACTTGGAAGTGGGTGGGGGATGAGGATGGGTGGGAAATTAGGAAGCTTTTAATTATTTGGAGCTGGTTGTTCCAGGGGTTACTGTTCTGCTTTGAGGATTATTGCTAGAGATAGCGGTCTGACTGCCTGAACTTCTGACTTAAGGATAGCAGGCTGGTTCCTGGGCTGGTTGTTGTAGATAATAGGTTTGTTTCCTGGGCAGATTGCTGCAGATTATGGGTCAGAGTTCTATTTGTATACATGATCTGACAAGTGTTCATTTGTATGTTGAATCTCTCAAGAGGGTTACATAGATTCTTCCTTCAGAGCAATGATTTCATGGGCCTTCATCCGTTTCCCCACTCCCATGCCTGCACCAGTACCCCACTGTGCAGCTCACAGTGCCATTAGAATTATCTAGATGTCACATTCTTTTGTTTAAAACTCACACCTTTTTGCCTAAAGTTAACATCCTGATTCTATAGTATACCTCACAAGATCATCTACAAGCAGAGCCTACACACTGTCTAGCTTAGGTGTAACAGCCCTGGGGCGAGACAGTAAATTGACTAGCACAACTTGCAGCAAGCTCTCCATTTCTCTCCACACCAGTTTCTATACCCACAAATGAGGCAACCAGTAGAGCCTAGGTCATGTACACAGGGTTGTGAGCAGGAAAAGGGCTTAGCACCCAGGCTGCCTCCTGCCTCTCTGCTCTCATCTCCCCAGTCCATGCCTGGCCATCTGCTGCAACCCTATCTACATGATTACTTCCTCCTCCTTCTTTTTCATTGTGTTTCATCCATCCCATAGATTTTAGCCAATGATCAGTTTTCAATAAATACTTGTATAATTAATTTCCCTCTGAACATGTGCTATGTTATTGCATTTATCTAATGTCAAAACCAATACATTTAATGGTTTGAAAAGGCATTAAACTCATCTCCAGATTTAGAGAGGAAAGAGTGGCCATTCACAGATGTGCAAAGTGTCATGGGCATTCATGAAGATAATTAAATAATTATCCTCCTTTAAAGAGAAATATAGCATCCACATGGGTTTTTGAAAAGGTTAAAATCAATCCGATTGACTCTATAGGAGTCTCTACTCTTCAGAGAGGACTAGGGGAATTCAAGGGGCTCTTCCGGTCTTTGTTGCATTCCAATCTGCAAAAGGTGCCTCATGTGTAACAGCACAAAACAGGACTGAAGACGGCTCTAGGCATGGTGTGAACCAACATAAGGCAGCACTTTCAGAGCATCTGATGTTTAGGAAATTCACTTTGAACTTTGGCTTTCTTTTCCTCAGATATAGGGTCAAAAATCTCCTCTGCAACACCTGTGGATAGCAGATGGGAGACAATATTTCCAATGTGTAGCATTTTGCTCTCTATTTCTTGGAGTTTGTGTGTGCAGAAGGTAGAGAGGCTGAGGGGACAATGAAAGAAGATGATTAAGGGAGAGGATAACCAACTTGGGGGTTCAAGGTCAGTGTTTAATGTACCAAAAGGAAGCATTTTAATTTTAAGAAATTATGATCTCTATTTTGCATGAACTCCTCTTTCTTGGGAAAGGAGTTTTGATATCACTGTTTTGATTTTTAAATGTTTCAGAGTTTTGAAAGCAGACACGTGCTCCAAAGCTGGAGAGACCTGTGGGCATCTGCATCTCACTGGTGGTCGTCTGAAGGCTCAAAGCCCACCTCTGAGCCCAGATGCTGCTGACTTGTGCCCACAGTTCTACCTTGGACCTGCCCTGCTGAGTCAGCCTGGAAGAAAGTAGCAAGGACCCACAGACTTTAGTCAGCAGCCTGAAAACAGAGTGGAGTTTGCTCTAATACAGTGTGTACTCATAAAACGATGTTTAACCTGCATGGGAGATGCCCTATTGTTTTGACCTTCATGACAATTGGGTGTAAAACTTTGAGTAAACACCTTCCTGACACCTATTACGGGGACTCTGCAGGAGGCACAGCCATTAATCAGAACAGCTGCAGGAGGCAAGGGCTGCTGATGGAGCCCTAGAAGAATGACTTGGTCCCCTGCAGTTCTCTCTCTTTTTCTTCAAATTAAAACCCAAGGAAATTGAGAGAGAAAGAAACTCTATTTGGTTCTTTCTTGCCTCCCAGAAGAAGCGGCAGTTTCAACCTGCCTGCGCCAGGAGGAGGCGGGCATGGAATGGAGACTGTGATGGAGCTTGTCTGTGGCTATTGCTGTTTGTGTTTGACCTCTAGTGGAGATGAGGAAGTGGAACAGAGATAAGAATGCCTCTCCCAGGTGACTGAAGAAGCTGATAAAGCTGAGCTTGTGGTGACAGGACCATGACTTTCCTGATGATGCTCCCCACGTTGATGGCTAGGAGGGATATGAGTGAAACCCTACTCTGAGAGCCCTGGGTGCCTTCCTGTCCGGGAGCCTGGGAGAGACACAGCTGCAGAGGCAGGAAGTGTGTCCTGGTTGAGTAAGGTTTCTCCTGAAAGGCTGGGAGCCTCCTTCTACATTTAGGCCCAACTTGGGGCCACAAAACAGAGGTTGAGGGCAGGGGCTGTGGATTCAGGCTGCCTGTGTGCCAACACTGGCCCTGTCACTTGAAGAAACTGACTTCACCCCTGTGTTCCTCCCCTTCTGACTCTATGAAATGGGTTTAGTGACACTAGATATCTAGCAATGAGAGCTTTGGTAAGGACCAATGCTGGGCATTACTATGAAAGAATCTGGAACTCCTGCCTCACCTCTGGATTTCCTTTGTATCCTCAAACAACCAGATGATGACAAACCTCATTCTGGGTCACTTTGGAGGCCAAGAGAGTTAAGCCCATCGAAAAGGACTGGTGTATACTGGGCTAAAGGCATGAGAGAAGTAAAATTAAAAACAGCTGGGAGATAAAAATAATATTTTCACTCTTCCACAGTGAAGGGGAAAACATGATTGCTTGTGTTTTATAAGTGGGGAAGTGAATGCTACCGCTATACCTATGATTAAGTGAGCTGGCAACAGACAGAACAGAAGAAAAGTAAAAGTTTAAGTCTGAAGAACTCTAAAGCACTTGCTATTCAAAGCCATACTCCAGAAGGCCCTGTTAAAAGTGAGTGCCACTTTGAAATGCCTCTTATTTTCTCAAAACTTGACTTCTAAACTCCTAAACTCAGAGTTGCAAAATTAAACTTGAATAGTGACTTGAATTATTTCAGAAGTCACATGAGCAAGGATTAGTTAACGCAAAGTGGGTCCTCAATGGTATTGGATGTACTCAGTTCCCACTGTGCTGAGTGACATGATTTAGTGGAGTAAATAGCCTTGGAGCAACTCACCCTTGGTTAGTGACCCATGGATTGTTGCTGCTAGTTGTTCTAGGTAATCCCTTGCAACATGACTTCCTGCCCACTGCCTGATGGTTTCTTTTTCTTAGAAAGCATACACCTATCTTTTATTCTGCAGATTAAGAGAAAAGGGAAGTCATTTGGTGAAACTGAAATTTAACTTTCTTTTACTTCAAACCACATGCCACTATCCCTTCAAGTATGAATAAATGCTTATCCAGATTATAATGAGTTAATGTTTGTTATTTTATTGAGAACAAATGCAGATTGAAGCAAATCAGATGCACAAAGTTTTGCTAGTGAATCTGTCTGAGAAACTAGCCTGCTTATGAACTAAATTTTCGCTAGCTAGATGATTGATAGATAGAGCATCAGCTTTCTGCTTACCGTCAATTCCTCTGCCTTAAAGATCTCATGCTTCATTTCTCATTCATTACGGCTTTTTGTTGTTGTTGCTGTCTTGGTATTAGTGCCCTTCTCTCTTGTATTAGTCAGGGTTCTTTAGAGGGACAGGACTGATAGGATGGATGTATATATGAAAGGGAGTTTATTAAGGAGTATTGACTCACATAATCACAAGGTGAAGTCCCACAATAGGCCGTCTGCAAGCTGAGTAGCAAGGAACCCAGTCCCAGTCCCCAAACCTCAAAGGTAGGGAAGCCAACAGTGCAGCTTTCAGTCTGTGGTCAAAGGTTCAAGAGTCCAAAAGCAGAATTTGAAGTCTGATATTCGAGACCAGGAAGCATCCAGCAAGAAAGAAAGATGTAGGCCGGAAGACTAAGCCAGTCTCATCTTTCCATGTTCCCTGCCTGCTTTTATCCTAGCCACTCTGGCACCTGATTAGATGGTGCCCACCCAGACTGAGGGTGGGTCTGCATCTCGCAGTTCACTTACTCAAATGTTAATCTTCTTTGGTGACACCCTCACAGACACATCCAGGAACAATACTTTGCATCCATCTATCCCACCAGGTTGACACTCAATATTAACCATCGCACCCCTCAAAATAAATATTCTTAAAAAAAGTTTTTGGCCGGGCGCGGTGGCTCACGCCTGTAATCCCAGCACTTTGGGAGGCCAAGGTGGGCGGATCACAAGGTCAGGAGATCGAGACCGTCCTGGCTAACACCGTGAAACCCCATTTCTACTAAAAACACAAAAAAAATTAGCCGGGAGTGGTCGCAGGTGCCTGTAGTCCCAGCTACTCCGGAGGCTGAGGCAGGAGAATGGGGTCAACCCGGGAGGTGGAGCTTGCAGTGAGCCAAGATCGCACCACTGTGCTCCAGAGCCTGGGTGACAAAGCGAAACTCTGTCTAAAAATAAAAAAAATTTAAAAAAAATTTTTTAACATATCTCCAAATATGTACGTGGATCTAAACTTGCCCCTGCTTGGAAGCAAAGTGGGGCTTGATGCCCCAGGCTGTTTCCTCAGCAGCCATTCTCAGCCCTCTTTTCCTTCCCCTGTCCCATCAGAGACGCTGAAAGTTACTTCCCAAGAGCTGGAAAGGATCCTATGACTCAGCTCTGGCCAATGAGGCAGAAGGGAACTGCCAGCTGGAGGAGCGTGAGGAATATTTTTTCTCTTTGATAAAAGAAAAGAAGGGTAACAGGAAGCCTCTCACCAAAAAGTCAACACCCTGCCTATCATCTCCTTTGTGACAGGGATGTTTATGCCTGTAGTTGTGGCCTCCAGCTTCTCACAGTGAAGAAAGAAGCTTTCAGAAAAAAAGCCATCCCCATCCTGCTGAAGTAGTCCCAGCAGGTGCTCAGGAAGAATCTCTGGCCTTCAGAATGATGAGTGACATGGTTTGGCTGTGTCCCCACCCAAATCTCATCTGGAATTGTAGCTCCCATAATTCCCACCTGTTGTGGGCGGGACCTGGTGGAAGATAATTGAATCATGTGGGAAGTTTCCCACATACTGTTCTCATGGTAGTGAATAAGTCCCATGAGATCTGATGGTTTTATAAGAGATTTCCCCTTTTGCTTGATTCTCATTATCTCTTGCCTGCCACCATGTAAGATGTGCCTTTCACCTTCTGCCATGATTGTGAGCCCTCCCCAGACAGGTGGAACTGTAAGTCCATTAAATCCTTTTATCTTTATAAATTACCCAGTCTCAGATATGTCTATCAGCACTGTGAAAACGTACTAATACAACAAGCTACCCAAAAACACCGGGCCTCCTATTCCAGGACTTGTTACTAAGTCAGTAATAAACATCATTTTTGTAAGCCACCATCAGTTGAGTTTTCCAAAACTCACAGCCAAGTGCAATCTAATGGGTATGGTTGCCTTCTTTTGTGCTTGAGTTTACAATTCAGTGATTGAAAAATCAAATATAATGCTCTATATCCATCAATAATACAGTTTTACGTATTTATTGATATGTAATTGCCCATCCCAGGTCTATTATGAAAAGTTTATTTGCATTTAATTCTAAGTAAATTAGAGTAAGCACAATTCTAACTCCCAGGCAAAGCTAAGTTCCACAGAGAACCACTCAGCCATGTAGAAGTTGGAAGTCCTGGAGAGGGTTCAAATGCTATTACTCAGTAATATAAACGCAAAAGGGAAAATGACAGCCTTCAGGAAGATACTGCCTATGGAACTAAAAAGAAGGAAAACAAATTGAGATACAAGGAATATAAAACAGCATTTCAGAAATTAGCTTTTCTAAGATAAACATTCAAAGGACGTTATTATGATCTGGTTGCGTGCAAAGATGAAATAAGGAGATGTTGATATCAATAGGACCACAGAGCTGGGCTAACCCTGGTGTGGACATTGGGAGCCTGGGGATCACGTTGTGGCTGCAGGATTGGAAAGTCCCCATGAGTAAGCACATGAGACAATGAGCGGGGAAGTCCTACCCTGTGGGTAAAATGAAGTCCCAAGAAAATACTGTTCCTGTGGAAATCCCATATCCAGTGGTTTCCTTTTCTTTTCTGCCTGCCTCATGACCAGACTCAACCCGGAATGTGAGACTAAGAGAAGATAAGAGCAAGTGAGTAAATGTAAATCAGAGTAATGAGCGAGGATGGAGACTGGCCAGCACCATCTTCTTTGATGACACATCTGTCTCTTGTTCTTTTTCAGATGGAAGGTGTTATGAAAGTTGTAGATCTTATTATTCTCTGGGAAACACTGGGAATTTGGCACTTTCCTTTTCCCCCTTCACCCTGCTGGCTGACCTGTGGCATCTCTCCACTTGTCTGTTTATAATTAGGGTCCCCACGAAATTCAGGCAGCTTGTTCTCCAGCTCAGGTGTGCCCCCATCGGCACATGCTGTGCCCATCTGTGCAGTGAATATTAACAAATGTTTCCAAAGTTAACTGTTCCACACGTTTCTCCCCCTCTCTCCATATAACTCCTATTCAAATCTCTCTTTCACACACTCTTGATTTTATAGCTTTAGCCACAAAGAAACAATTTGATAATCAATCTGACGTTGAAGTCACTGAAACATAATTAATTATATTGTAAAAAGTTGTGAACCAAAGTCCACCTTCTACTTCTTCTCTTTCTTTTTAGGAATGTTGACCTCATGTGCTACATTACGACCATTGCTAAATTTCTATTTATTAAAGTCAAAGAAAATAAGTTATTATTCTCCAGGATGTATTCTGACAAGGAATAAAAAGTGGAGATAAGGCAGTTGGACTCCAGAGCACCTGCCACTATACGTGATTAGGCAAGCTGTTTCCTGCTCTGTTCTCTGTACCATGCTTTCCACTGTGCCTACAGTCACCAACTCACAAGTGACATGAAATTAGAGGAATCTGTGGGTGCCCTTCTTAAGGTAGAGCACTCAATCTTTCTCTCTCTCTCTTTTTCCTCCTTCTTTTATTATTTGTTGCTATTGTAGTATTTCAAAGCTCACTGTAGTAAACTACAATCTGTCCCTGAAATTAACCTTGCATAAATCCTGCAAGCAACTTAATCCCTGTATGATTCAAATAACTGGATTTGGGTAAAAATTGTCTACAGAGATATTCCTAAAAAGAAAGTTGTGGAGAGCTATCCCAAAGAGGTTGCTTAGCTGGTATTAACAAAGAGCGTTACAATTGTTCAGCTGAAATGGTGCCCAAGGTAGGAGACAAGTTAATCTGCTTTCAACTGGTTTCTCCAATAATTGGATTTAAGACTATATTTTGAATCCATAATTTATTGGGTTCTATGTATAACTTTCTTAAATATTCTAGGGGAAAAGATCACTAAATAATATCCTTTGCTTTTGGCTGTGTGAATGTTGTATGTATGTCTATATTTATGCTAATAGCATATTATGACTAAGCCTAAAACAATTTAATAGACAAGATTTAAAACAAAGGCTTAAATTATCTAATGTAGTTTGAGAAATCACCCATATTTGTCCTCTGAGTAAAGAAAAAGTAAAAGGACTAGGAGATGCTGGCTGACATGTCATAACTAATAATATGTTGAGAATAATTAGCTTTTGTTGATGAATCAACTATAAACTAATAAGTAGAATTAATACATGACTTCTTCAATAAACATTATTTATGAATTCTAACAGAAAAAAAGACATTTTTCAATGGGCATAATTATGATCAATAGTTTAAATCATTGATCTTTACTGAAATGTTGATGATCTGTTTTGCACACTGCAAACTAATTTTAATGGGAAAAACTATGTGAGTAATAATATATTTCTTTACATATTTAGAAATAAACTTAGTTTTCTATTAAATTATTTAAACTATTCAGAATTTTCATTCATTATTATGTGATCTAGAGAAATGAAGATGCTTAATATTTGTTAATTTAAATATTAAAAAAGAAATATCAAAATCACCCAAATTTTTGAAAATCTAATGTATTTTGTGCAGACTTATACATTTGCTATTAGATTAGGCTTGTAATTCATATCTTCTTGAAGTCTAAGAAAAAATTGATTGTCTTCTAATGTTATATAATTCAATACTTTTTAGTAAAAGATGTATTACAATTAATTTAGAATATTCTGCAGATTTTCATAAAGGAAATATCAATTTTGACATCCATCAAAATACAATGTGTCAAAAATTACTTAATTTTTTATTTTTTGAAACTGAAGAGTATATATTTAAATAAATAAATAAAATGAATATTAAAGTCATTGTAGACTATAATAACAGGGCTTTAAATATTCACTTCAAGAGTTAATTTTAAATACAAACTTGTATACTGTATATTAAACATTCCAGTTATAAAGAGTGTTGTTTATACTCCTTTAGCTGATAGGCTGACGAATGCTCTAAGCAAAGCTATATATTACCCATTAATAAGGTGTCAGCAGTGCAGTGGTGGACAGTTGGGAGAACATGCTTTGTTTAAAATTTTGTGCATGTTTTATAATTACAAGCACAAAATGCATGTAAGTTACAATGTTCACTTTAAAGTCCATTCACAAATCATTTGAAATATTGTAGAATTGATCTTCTTAATTATGCAGTTGGCTTTTAATTGTTAGGCATTCTGGCTATAATTCATTTACTCCTAATCTTTGACAACAAATGGTTAAATTTTCTCCAATGTTACTGTAATGTGTATAATACCAAGACCAAGCTCTCAGGCTTGTTAAACCAATCAGGGAGAAACATATTTTACCCACCCAGGGTATGTCATGTTGGTCTGACAAAGTTTACTTGTTTTTAATGATCTGAGAAACATCTTTAATTCAGGCTCTATAGAGACTCCACAATCCATTCAACATTACAATATGGAAATCAGAATGATATACAGTGCACTAACTTGTTAACTTAAGTGATGTTTTTAGACTACAAACCACAGTTTTCATCTGGTACTATTGTTGCAGGACTTTTCCTTACTTCCTAGCTAAAGACAGGGTTCTTTGTCCCATGGCCATGAAAATTTAGGCTCACAGACAATTTTTAAGACAGGGTTTTATTGGGTAAAAAAGAAGAAAAGAGGACTCTTACCGAGGTATCTGCTGGAGTGCTTCCTGCCCTGAGCTTGACTCTCAGGTTCACACAGGAAGAGGGAGGGCCAGGCTCCTCCCCGCTGCACACTTGTGAACTTGCTGAGGCTCCACCTCAGTGGTCAGACTGGTTGGAGTTTCTCCAGAGACCCACTCCCACCTAGCTGTCTCACTATTCTGATATTATCAGAATTATGATGCTGCTGCACCAGAGAATTGGTTAAGCCTGTACATAACTAACTGCATCCTGTGGTCTTCTCACTTGTTATCTGTCTCCTTCCCTCCCCAGAAACCCACTGTCCCACTATCATCTTCTTGGCATTTGGAATTGAAACAATCACCTGTACTTAAAAAGAGGAGCTTTTAAGAGAATATTCATTCTTAGTGACATTTGCTCAAATTTCAGAACTTACAGTTACCACTTCATTAACTGCATTTCTGTTCTATCCATTGATTTCGATTTTTATTAATGGTTTTTCAGGTCTGAGCAATTCTGGATGTTGCTATAAATGTGTCTGAATTGTCTGCTGCCCGTCAGGTGGGAAATGGCATCTTTCCACTCCCTCTCATCTCCAACAGGGCAGCTTCTGTCCTGGGAATACTGCAGGTTTCAGAGGAGTGTGACATGCAGGCCCTGCTTTATCAAGTCGCAGACCTCAATATTCTTCTTAAAACACGTAAAAAGCACCCTCCTCTGTCTACAGCTGTTCAGGAGGTTTTTAGCTTATTAATTTCCTTCTCACTGGCAATATGTAAGCTACAATTCATTTAAATGGTCTCCCCCTCCTTCCTTCCTTCCTTCCTTCCTTCCTTCCTTCCTTCCTCCCTTCCTTTCTTTTTCTCTCTCTCTGTTTTTCTTTCTTTCTTTTTCTTTCTTTCTTTCTTTCTTTCTTTCTTTCTTTCTTTCTTTCTTTCTTTCTTTCTTTCTTTCTTTCTTTTCTTTCTTTCTTCCTTCCTTCCTTCCTTTCTTTCTTTCTTTCTTTCTTTCTTTCTTTCTTTCTTTCTTTCTTTCTTTCTTTCTTTCTTTTTTCTTTCTTTCTTTCTCTTTCCTTTTCTTTTCTTTCTTTCTTTTTAGAGTCTTGCTCTGTTGCCCAGACTGGAGTGCAGTGGTGCAATTTTGGCTCCCTCCAGCCTCCACCTCCTAGGTTCATGTGATTCTCCTGCCTCAGCCTCCCGAGTAGCTGCGATTACAGGTGTGTGTCACCAGGCCTGGCTAATTTTTGTATTTTTAGTAGAGATGGGTTTTCACCATGTTGGCCAGGGCAGATCACCTGACCTCAAGTGATCCCAAAGGCCGCCTTGGCGTCTCAAAGTGCTGGGATTGCAAGTGTGAGCCACCGGTCCCTCTTTCTTTTTTCATACTTTTAAGTTGTGGCAAAATACATACAACATAAAGTTTACCATTTGAAATACTTCTCAGTGTACATTTCAGTGGCATTCAGTGCATTCACATTGTGGTGCAACTGTCACTGCTATCTATCTACAGAACTCTTCATTTGGCAAAACTGAAACTCTGTTCCCATGAAACACTAACTCCTCCTTCCTCCGTTCACCCATTTTCCTTTTCCCCTTTTCTTTTTGCTTCTTTATCACTGACTTTCCCTCACTGTAATTAGTAGAACATTGTAAAGGGAGTCTAGGAAATTTCCTATAAATTAGTCACACTTACAGGTCAGACCCAGGAGACAATATAAAAGATAGCTCCAATGAGCTCATTCACGGTGGCCAGATCTGAGCCACCATGCAGCACTGGATGATAGGCTGATGCAAGTTCAGGTCATTTTTATTTTCTAGATGCCATCCAGTTCTCCCTTCCATACCCCAGTCCAACCCCTCCACTCTCCCTCTTTGTCTTTACCTAGGAAAAATATGGCACAAAAAAACCCAGTGGTATTTTATATACAAAAGCCACATTTTTCTTCTTGTGATATTACTTTACTACAAATTTGCAGTTAAGTGCTCAGAAAACCTTTTAGTATTTTTACTTATTAAAATCATGATTTCATAGATAATAATTTTATTAATTTCAGAGAAGTAGGCTTTTCACGATTATATCAATTCCTTTATCACCAATTCCATTTATAGAAATAAATGTTAAAGTGGTATTTGGGATATATAAAAATTAAGTATGGCATCCTTTTTTGTTACTAACATTTGAAAAGTAATAGCAGTTTTTGCATTAAGTATTTATGGGTGAGAGGAGAAGTGATAAAAGAGAACAGAAAGAATATTTATATCATTGCTAGGTATATGTTATTTTGGCTATGATTATTACATGATCTTTTAAAGCATTTTAATAAGACCTTTGCTGCTAGTTAAGATCAGTGCTATATTTAAAACTAAAATGATATATTTATACATTGTATCACTGTAAAACTCAAAATGTAATAATGACCTGAACTATATACTGAAAACAAACAAAAAAAAAGCAGAAAGTACTGTGAAATAAGGCTGATATATTGAAAAATATCAAAAATTTTTTTAGAACCTGTGTGTAACATACAGGTTTTATATAATCCCAAAAATGATGTGTTTAATTGTATGGCTAGCAATGTCCTAAGTTAGGATCATAAATAAATAAAAGGAATGCAGACCCATTGAGAAGGCTACAGGTAGAGGTATAGTTAAAACAATAAAGGTAAAATGCAATAATCCCTCAGTCATCGCCTGTGTTCCACTTTAGAATCATATCATTTTAATATCACATTCATATGAAAGTGTCATTCCTGAAAGACCTGAAATATAATATGCGGATTTCTTGAGCAAATGCATAGTCTTCTATATCCTTTTAGGAGAAGGCCTCAGGAAATTTTCCTTTATAGGTATTTCAGTTGTAAAGCAGCTCTTATCAAATCTGGTTTGGTGTAAAATGATTGAAGCCTTTGTCTGAAGATGTTGATACTGATGGTCTCTTTAGCTTCCTTAAGGACATCGAATTCAGATACATCTAAAGAATATCAGCAATATTTTTAAAGGTATATATAAAAACTATAAATATTTTCTTTTTTAACATTATAAACAGATAATATTTATAACTTAAGCTTCAAATTTATTTGCTGTTTTTACTTGTTTAACTGCTTCATTTTTTTTTCTTCAAATACTGTGGAAAGAATTGATGGCTTCTTTCATCCTTTTTCAGGCCAGGGCAAAATTCACTGATATAAATAACATTTTTCTGTGGTTAATATGGTTCAATATTGTGTAAGCTAAAAAGTATCTATTTTCCCTTAACAATTTGGTGTATGTTTCTGCATATAAGCCAAATCACTCAACAACGAGCCTCATTTCACCAGAAATACAATACTGTAGAACAGTATTAAAAGGTTATACTTATGATTGCAGTGGATTTATATGAAACACAATAGTAAATTAACTCAAAGCACTGATAAAAATTGCCTAACATGAATGTCTGTGTTTCTTGTCATGCAATGATAACCTCAAAACACTTCTTTTAGTTTATATGGATAACGGCAGCTGAAGGCTGTGTTCCAGTATTCTACGTTTAAGAAACATTTTTATCAGTTTGAGAAATGATTTTTTTGAAAGTAAAATTTATTTTGTTACTGAAATCAGGTAAAGTTTTCAGGTATTTTATTCATAATTTTCTACTTCTGTATATTCACTTTTTTTTTTTTTTTTTTTTTTTTTTTACTGGTTTCTTCTAAGAGCTCCACATAGGGATGTCAAAAACTGTGCTTGCAGAAATGAAAGTATCCTCATTATGCTAATTTAAGTTCCACTGATAGGCATGTTCTGTTTTATAAATTACATCCTCTTGTCAGAAGTCAAAATGTATTTGAATAACTTCATGGAAATTGTCACCAGGATTTAAAATTGTGTGCCTTACATGCCATTGTTAATTTAATCCATGGGTTTGAAAATGGGCATATATTTATTTTAAAATGTGTGAGTAGTTATTTTGTTGCAAATTTTATCTAAATGTGACTTAAATGCAAGTATAATTTTCATGTGTATTTTGATAAAGTTTTGCTTTTTAGAGATGTATTTTAATTTTCTAGTTTAATAGATATGCTAAATAGCATTAGTTGCTGTATATTTTAGTGCCAACAAGTTTGTTTCTTACATACTTGGAATTTTCCTGAAGGGTAAAATAAATATACATGTTTTCACAAAATTATTAAAATATCAAAAATTAAAATGAAAAGGGGATTTGATTTATGAAAATTATTTCCTGTTCGCCATGATAAAAAGCATTTTCAATTTGCATTTACATGTCATATGCTGGAAAACAAATGCAGTCTCATTGAAATTGAGAATATTTACAAATATCTAAATATTGAATAAGGGGTTTTTTGATGTGAACTAAAAAAATCTAATAGTTTAAACTTACTATTTAAACCATCAATAGACATCTGAAAAAGAACTTCAGGCATACACTGACATGATCATTTTATTAGAGGAAAAAAGGTATTACATTTCCTTTTCAACCATTCCTGATAAAAGATCAGATTTCATTTTTTAAAAAAGTGTGTCCTGTACAGAGCATTTGGGTTTTGTACTCATTTGATTTTACTTTTCAGAATGACCAGTACCGCTGTTAGAGTAATCTTTGATGCTACAAAAAGTGGAAGAATCAAAGTGAAGAGCTAAATCTGTTCATTTTTCAAACATATTAATCTTGTCAAGATAATACATAAAAATCAATCCTTGAAATTTTTTCCAGAGTTCTTTCTCTTCTCTTTTATCCAAAATATGAAACCACTTAGGAGGATAAAGCAATGTGAATGACTTCAGAAAAAAATGCTAAGTTATAATTTGGCTAAATATATTTAAAAATGGCCCAAGTGGACTAAGTTGCATGGTCAGAAATGATGTTTTTGTAACTATTGGCATTTGTCGTATATGCTCAGCTCTTATGTATGGCAGACCGAGAATTTCTTGTAAGGCGTTTTAAACAATTCAACTGAGTTTCAAGTCCCTGACAGTAACAAATACAAATTGCACCAGCCCCCAAAAAAATTGTTGGGGCTAATTTTAATATTAATGAATTCTTTACAACCTCAGTTCAGCGGTTTCGATTAAGCTTTAATTAGTAGCCAGAGGGGTATCCAAAACAAAAATAAGGAGTTGAATTGCTAATTAAGTTAGTTTGATGAGGTAGAGTTTTAGTAAAAGACTGGTTGTTGTTAGCTGTGCAAGTTCTGACAAGCTAAAAATACTAAAGATTATCATTATTGTTACTAACATTCGACATTACCACCAGCTCTCTGCACAGAGCAGACAGTTCATTAGAGTCCCATGCTTTTGTCTGTCACCACTGGAATTAAAGCCTTGTTAATAAGAGAACAGTGAATGGGAACAAGAGTCTAAGACAAGCCTATGGAGCTTTAACTTTGATTGGTTATAAATTAACTAGTTATTACACCCAATTGAATACATCTATTCACTAACAATTCTTTTTTTTTTTTTGTCATTCACTGAAGTTTCTACAAAGATCTTACTTATTAGAAACTGATGTTGCAAAAGAATTTGCTTTCCTCTGTGTTCGATGGTGAATGTATTTTTTCTTTATGTTCATGTTCTGACCAACTTCCAAAATTGCACAATTTCATAATGAATTTGAAATTTGAAAAGAGAGCTAAAAACAAGGAAAACCTACCCACTTTTTAAAGATAGAATACACCTTCTCCTAGACCTCTGTTGGTAATCATTGTATCTAAAGAACACATGACAATATTTTTAATTATTTGAACACTCTCAATAATAGGTTTTATTGGAAAAAACTTGGATAATTATTATTTCAAGCTGGAAATTAACTCGTTAGTAGAATTGGCTCTTCCTAGTACAATTTGAATGCTCTCCTTGTACCCCAAAGACTACTAATTATCCTCCTGAAAGCTCTCTGGTGATGAGGATTCGCCCAGACTGCACGTGAGGAATGTGAACTATCTTTTTGAGGATTGTGGAGAATGTAATTTGATTTCTCCATACTCCAATGTTTTCTATAATTTGTATTTTATCCTTTTGCTTAAGGTTTCAAAGCCTACAAACCCAATAACTTAGGGATAAGAGAAGACAGAAAAATAAATGATATTGTTTCTGCGGTATTAAATATAAGCCTGGCTATCGTAGCTGCATGGCGGTCGCGAATTGTAATCAGGTACTTTGACTTAACACTGTTTTGTTTTATAATAAGGTGGTTGCCATATGTTGGAAAACCTATCCGCCTGTAACTGAGGGGCTCCGTACCCCTGTAACAAATCCAAAAACTCATTTTATAATACCTTAAATCTATCCATTGTAATGTAGCTCCACAAGTGTAAATCCACATCAAACTTTGCTCATGAATGTGTCTGGAAGATTACGTATATTATCATTGAAAGCTAAAGGGAAGCAGTGAATTAGAATGCAGTGGATCTAGTAAAAATAACTTTCAGTAAATCTTCTTTTAATGCATAGTTTACAATTTTCTTTTGCTCAGCATGAAACTGATTAAGATCCCCCTTCTAAAGAATATCTTCCCCCTCACATAGATGCATTGTTTAATATAGTTACAGCCCCCAATAGTTGACAAATCAGAATTTCAATGCCGCAAATGTGATGCTTGTTTAACAGCAGCAGAGAGTATTAATAATTTATCTATTTGAATGTACAATAGTTTCCGACTATAGTATTTCACATGGTGCAGCAACCAAACACACATTCTCTTAGTGGTGAAATCTTCAGTGTAAGCAAGTTACTGATATCTGCTAGAGGAGTTTAGAAATCAATGCACATGTTTAAATAGGTCCATTAATTGTCACTTAAGAATTACAATTTAAATAATTAGATATTATAGGTTAAAATGTAAACAAGTAATAACATAGTAAAACGAAAGCTAGAGAAGTCTTTTCTTTAAATCAATGCTATTAGTTTCTAAAGATAAATTATCCTCTGGAAATCTATAAAATTAAGGATGAGAATTAATCTCCAGTATTTAATTTTGTAAAAATTTTCTGTCTAAGAAAATGCATACTGTAATCAGTTTGAGGCAAGGTATATGGGATAAAAAATAATCAGAACATTAAAACTCTTATTTAAATATCTAGCAAACAATCTATGAATTGTATATCTGAGATAACAAATTAATTTGTCCAGTGAGTCAAAGGCAACTTAAAATATAACAGTCAAACAAACCTTCTATTGAAATGACTTTTAAAAAGGTGATGAAGATTTCATCTTACAATAAATTATTTTCTAGTTTTTATATAGACAAAATCTAGAAACAGAAAACACTTATTTTAAAAGAAGAAATGGTTATTTTATTATTTTTATTACAAAATACAGTACCTCTAAAAACCTTATTACAGTTTCATTTTATTTTCTTGCCAATAGAATATTGAAGAATATTGCTTAAAGTAGGATTTCTTCTTTTGTTTCACAAGAATATCTCTGAGTTCAGACACAAAGTTGAACAAGGGGCATACCAGGAGAGATATACTCTTGAGCTGGGATACAAAAAATATCTAAATTGTTATAATACTACAGTGTTATGAAATTTATTTTATTGATGGTTTTAATATTTTCTTTCATCTCATGAAATTTCTTATTTTTATTTCATTCATGAATATAACTTATGAGATATACAACAAAATATCCACTCACTTAAAAAAAATCATACATGTGTCCTAAGGCAGCGTCAGAGAAACAGACAAGTGTGGGGGGGAATGGGCCTCCTCTGTCCATCAGGGCAAATAGGTTTCACTCCGCAGAACCAAATTTCCTCCTGCTTCTTTTCTTCAGCTCTGGAACCCCATAAGGTCATCTGAGTTTTACCATATGTGAACTTGAGGAAGTAGATTACCTTGTATGTTAATGTGAACTATCGTCGAAGAATCAGATTGATTTCCCATCTGCCACCTCCACTGCCACCTCTGAAAATGGTCACATTACTACTTCTGATGGTGCTTATGTCTGCCCAGCTACCCAGAACTTCACAGTAAGATCTATTCTTAAAAGTAGAGAGATCCTTGAGAAAACAAAATGATAGAAACCCTTTATGTTACATTTTACATGATTAGATAATACTTTCATGTCAAGAAGTTTTTCAGGAATAGAGAAATTAAGAAAAATAAGTACATTTCTCTTTTCCATTTGTCATCTAGCTATATAATTCTAAAAGAAGCAACTGTTCCCTATTGTGTGGATATAGCATTTTGAGGTTTCTAGAGATAGCAGATCTTTTTTTGCTTTGATCCCAGAGAAAGAAACCTACATGAGATTTTTAAAATGTGTATAATGAAAATAATAGAATTGCTTGTTGCTTAGCTTTAACACTTACCTAATCTATTCTTAAGTAAATAAGACAGCTGTGGCATGGAAAAAGTGTCTGTTAAACCCAGCCACCGGTTTAATAAAACTACCACAACTATTAGATGTTGAGCAAAGTGAGTGCTGTAGGGATTTTGATAACTATATCCCAGTGTTTTTTTAGAGATTTTTACATTCTTGTATCTTAAAGGTTTATTTGGTCTATGATTTTATAATAACATTAGCATTCTGGTGAAATTTCTGTTTACATGTGTTATTGTATTTTATCTTCAAACCACAGGAAGAATGATACTAGCATTTCTTAAGTACTTACTGGTGTCTAATTCTATGGTAAAACTTTTCAAAGGATTACCTAATGTCACCTTTAAATAAAGTTTTTAGACAAACTCTGTGTCACATCTTGGGGGATATTCACAAGAAGGTCATTAATGCGACCACCATCTCACTATGACCCCATAGCAAATCTCTCTCTGAACATTGTGTTCCACTGCCACCTCTGAAAATGGTCACATTGCTGCCTCTGTTTGTGTTTATGTCCACCCAGCTGCACAGAACTTCACAGCAAGATCTATTCTACACAGGAGAGGAGACAGCAAAAGGGGTGCCCAGAAGGATACTTAGAGCTTGAAAGATTTATTTTGCAGTGTGGTGGTAAAAGCAGAAATCTACTTTTCAAAAAGAATTCTATCTCAATATCAAAAGAAAGGAATAAACAATCAAGTCTCTTTGTCACCTGGGCCATGATAATTTTCCCCACTGTTGCAGACCACCGTCTGGTGAAGTGTCTGTCTGTCATACTACAGAGTTCGTAAATATTTGCTGATGAATGAATAAATGAATAAGTGCCTCTCTGGAATGAAAGGCACCTGTTATACAAATTATATAGCCACACACAAAGGAGCTCTGAAAATGCCCCCTCTCTGGAAATGGCCCATGGAGGGATCAGTGTTTCAGGTGACTGGAGCATCCAGAGAGGGACAAGGGCAGCAGCTGAGGCACCTGGGCTGCTGAGGGATGGACGAGGAGCACCGCCCAGGAGAAGGGAGACTTGGCATGGCCACACGCTCCCTCTGTAGAGTAGGGATGCAACTTCAGAAAAGCCACATGGCCCTCTGCAGACACGGTGAGGTGTGAGGAAGGACATCTGGCTTTGATTGACTTTGATTGAAAGACCCGTGTAGCAAGCTCTGTCACCAGAAAGCCACATCTTCTTAGTCTCCTCAACTATACAATGGAGTTAAAGTTCATATTAACCTCAAAACGAGGCTGAAGAGCCACTTGAGGCAATAGGCGTTGGAATCATTTGTTAAACGGCCAAGTTCAATATAAATGATTCTTCCAAAGAACATTTACTGGGTGTTTTGGAGCCTGAGATTCAAGCACCTTCTCAGACAGACACCTCGATTCCCTTCCTAGTGCTGCCTTTACTCTCTGGCTGGCCCCCAGCAAGTTAGCAAACCTCAGTTTCCTCATGGATTGAATAAGCGGCATCCTAGCGCGTGCCTCCTGGGCCTACTGTGAAGGTTCAGTGAGAGAACGTGTGTCCATGTCAGGCAGCCAGCTGGACAAATGGTGGCTGTGATGCTCCACAGAGTGTGTCCCGTGTACCAGGTCCTGTGCTGTGGGAGGTGAGAATGTGCTTTCCAGGTGAAATGACAGAGCCAAAACCATCATTTGGTGATATTTCCAGGCTACCACAACTACTCTGCACAACAGCTAGGAGGCAAGGCTCCCTGTGAGCCCATGAGATTCTTTCCCACGTCCTTCCCTCGCTGGCCCTCATGGCATCAGCAGGACCCGTATTCAGGGTCCTGGAGCTGGAGCAGCCTGGGTATGGGTAACGAGAGTGAGAGGGCTTCTCCTTGCTATTCATTTTGTCCTCTTCTCATTCCTGGGGCACACTTAAAACAAGCCATGGGCCTGGAGAAGGCCAGCTTCTTCCTGCTTCCTCCCTCAAATTCCTCTGGAACAACACAGGATTCAGAGCACTTGTCTTTTTTCCCACAGAGTGGAGCTCACATAGAAAAAATCAGTAACATTTTCCTGTTCACTGAGAGCTCCTTAAGGAGTAGCTTTCACTTCTAGCCACACTGAATCTCTGCTTTGATGCTCACTTTTAGTGGCAAGTCCACTCAAGGCAACAGGGCAGTGTGCCCATGCATTTAGCCTCCAATGACCCCCCTCTATTAGGAGACCTTCTTACAGCCACTGTTTTTTCCCCCTAAAAGTGCATACAACAGGGAGGTTGGAGGAGGGAAAGGAGAAGAGCTTGTCAGCAGCTCAACAATAATTCATGCAACCTTATAGGCCTTTCTTCCAGTCAGTCAGAAGAAAGTGGGTGCTGGCAGATTATCACCATGTCCTGGGACAAGCTGTGAGGAGAAGGGAAAGAGGAGGGAGGGAGCCCTGGAGAAATGGGACTAGATGTCCACCTAACACTTCCAGACACCAGCCAAAAAAGCCCTTCTCTTAGATGAACTCTAATTACTACACGAACACAACCGTAATCAATGTTGTCCTTTTTCAAAGCTGCATGTAAAGCAATTATCTTCTAAACTCAAGCCAATTGACACCACATACTGTAAAATCATGTAAACAACAGGTTAGAGAAATACTAGTATCTAAGGTGGATTTTGTTGTCATTCTTTAACTGGCTCTATTCTGTAAACTGCTTAAGCTAATGCTCAGATTTTAGGAGATGCTAATATAGTAGTTTTCAAAGGATACATTAGACCTATATTCATCCTGCTATAAAGTCTATAATTTTTATTTGAAATGAGATAAACATATTATGTTTTCCAAAATTGCAATGACGATTATAATCAAATGAACTAAAAATAAATCTACTTTCTAGAAGTGGATTTATTACAGTTTTTGTGTGGTTACTTGCAAACATTCTCATCATTTTGTGAAAACTTTTCCCGGGTGGGTTTAAAGAGCTAAGGGACCCAGGACAATGTCCAATTTCAGTTGGGTCCTCTTGATGGAGAAACTTGCTGCTACAGGAAGATGTGGACACTGTAATTTGATCATGTTTTCATTCATCGTATATGCTGAATGAGTTATGCCATCCCTTGGCTTCCAGAAAGAAATGACCTGGGAAAGATAAAAGGATTGTTCCTTTCTCCTTCTTTACACACTGTCAGATCCTGTTACTGAAAATTAAGGTCCAATACAATTCTTATTCAGAGATAATTAGCTGACACCTTTGTGGCCAGGGAGATAATGGGGCTGAAAGGGAGGTTTTTAGCAGATCTCCCAGAGGTGTGAAGGACCAGGCCCTGGATTTGTTGGCTGAGGTCATAACTTTTGATGGAACATGAAATGTGGTGGACAAAATGCAGCTTACTTAACTGCTGTGATTTTAAAAGTAGGTAAAGCCAAATAAGTTACATTGATTTTTCTCCCATAGTTAAAAAAAATCAAGAGTATATCATTAGTAATAAACTATGACTTCATTAAAATGTTTCACATAACAGGATTAGGGAAGAATGTGTCAATAATTGGCAAGGGTTTGTCATTCATTAATTAACACCTTTGCATGAATAGAAACTTGTTATCCTTATGTATTATAGGTGAAAGATGACTTAAAATAAGTCATAACATTTATGAATATTGTTTTGTGAATTTTTATAACTTAATAATTAGATTCAAAAACTTTTTAAAAAGTTTTTATTTCAAATAAGTATTATTTGGGTGAAAGATGGTGGCGTTTTAATAGTTAATGCCTATAACAATCCCTTCGGAAGAAATTAGATAATTTTGTTTCTCATATACAGCTACACTAATTTTAAATTTGCATTTACTTTCTTACCTGCCTTTGTAGAAACAAAACATAAATGTTAATCATTACAATGGGTCATTCAGACTGTTTTTCACCATAATTACCTTAGTGTACTAAAGTAAAATAGATCTCTGCAGGAAAAAATATCAGTCAGAGGAAAACTTGGCAAGTAAAATTCAGTTCATAAAACTCTAGTGCTGTTTTTTAAGTTTATCGCAAGTGAACAGTGTACATTAAAAGTTAATAGAAACATAAACATAATTTTCTTGATAGTTACTTATAATCTAATGCATACTCAAAAATGTAGCCAAATTACACTTTTATTTTTTCATTTCTTCTAAAATAGTACCTTTTTTTCATGACAAACCTACATTAAAGTAACAAGCTATTCTTCATTTGAAATGATTGGGCCAGGATTAAGTGAAGAGGAGAAATGGCTGGCTACGTTTATCTATTTCTAGCTAGACATGACAAAATAGAGTGTGCTCACTCAGAGGTGAAATTTGATGTTTTCTTTATCCTCCAAGAAAGGCAAATAGAGAGCAAATAATTATGTGGTAAGATTTAAGTTACAAGTTTTCCTAAATAGGTTATTTCTAAATTTCATTTTGTTACTTCGTTTATGTGGAATTTGTCAAGGTCCCATATATGTTTGTATTTAAAATAATCATTAGGATAATTATGGTACTACTCCAGTTGAAAATCTAAATATATGGCAGATACACACAAGTGCGCTGAAGCATTTAACTTGGTTGAATTTTTCTAATGCAGTTTTGCTATGAAGCACCCATATGATTTAATGCAAAGATACAAAATGTATGATGCTAAATCATGGCATACATAAATTACTTATTCTAAGTAATAGATTGTTTTTGAAATAAATGAATATTTTGAAGATAAATTACAAATAATGTATATTCAAGCCATAGAGATCCTTAAGTCATATTACTCATTTAGTGAGAAAAAATTTAAACAATTTATGATCAAGAATGCAAGCTGGGGTAAGAACATAGCTTATATATATGCACACTAGTGCATTTGTGGAGAAATTTTCTATGGCATATCTCAGGTTAGACTGACTTAATGCCCTCCTAACATCTTTTAAACATTATAGGAATTATGTATATGCATTTCTCACTCCATTCTGTGCTATTCTTTTAATTCATCAATTTAAAAAAGCATGCAGTCAAGGAACTGCTGAGTCATTCTTAACATAGAATTTACTTCTACTTTAGGAGAAATTTGCCATCACTGGGACATTAATTCTTTCAAACTTTCTATTTTGTATTTGACATCCCAGATGCTTCCTACATGACAATCAAATACTCTAGATTTTTCATATTATTTGGATTTCAAAATTCTATTTCTGTATCAAACTCATGTCAAGGCACACACACATTCATAGGTTGTTTTTTTTCCCTTTTTTGGAGAATTTAAACACAGGTTAATATAGGATTGATCATTTGAATTATGCCAGAAACATTTTCTTATGTGTTTAGTTTATTAGGAATAGATAATCAAATGAAGCTTTAGAAGTTGTCTTAAAATTTTTGATTACTTTTCTTCTTTATTCATTTGTATCAGGTTTACCAAAAACATGTGGTTAATGAGTTTATATTTGAGAACATCTGTTACCATTTTTACAATTTTTATTTTTTTATTTTATTTTATTTTTTTTAGAGTCAAAGAGTCTCACTTTGTCACCAGGCTGGAGTGCAGTGGCGCAATCTCGGCTCACTGAAACCTCCGCCTCCCGGGTTCAAGTGATTCTCCTGCCTCAGCCTCCTGAGTAGCTGGGACTACAGGCACCCGTCACCACGCCTAGCTAGTTTTTGTATTTTTAGTAGAGAAAGGGTTTCACCATGTTGGCCAGGATGGTCTCGATCTCTTGACCTCGTGATCCACCTGCCTCGGTCTCCCAAAGTGTTGGGCCTCCCAAAGTGTTGTGAGCCACTGCGCCAGGCCCACAATTTTTAATTTTTATGAGTAAACAGTAGATATATATGTATATGTATAGGTATATGCATATATATGTGTATATATACATGGGGTACATGAGATATTTTGACACAGGCATACAATGTATAATAATCACATCAGAGTAAATGGGATATCCTTCAACTCAAGCATTTATTATTTCTTTGTGTTACAAACATTCAAATTATACTCTTTCAGTTATTTTTAAATGTACAATAAATTATTATTGATTGTAGATACCCTGTTGTACTATCGAGTACTAGATATTATTCATTCTTCCTAAGCATATATTTGTGTCCATTAACCACCCCCACTCCCTGCATCCTTCTTCTCCATTACTCTTCTCAGCAGCTGGTAACCATCCTTCTGCTCTCTATCTCCATGAGTTCAATTGTTTTAATTTTTAGTTCCCACAAATGACTGAGAACATGCAACGCTTGTCTTTCTGTACCTGACTTATTTCACTTAAAATAATGTCTTCTCATTCCATCCATTTTGTTGCAAATGACAGGATCTTATTCTTTACGGCTGAATAGTACTCCATTGTGTACATGTATCACATTTTATTTATCCATTCATCTGTTAATGGATGCTTAAATTGATTCCAAATGTTAACTACTGTGAATAGTGCTGCAATAAACATGGGAGTGCAGATATCCATATATTGACTTCCTTTCTTTTGGGTACATACCTAGCAGTGGGATAGCTGAATCATATGGTAGTTCTATATTTTGTTTTTTAGGAACCTCCATACTGTTTTCCATAGTGACTGTACTAATTTATATTCCCACTCACAATATGCAAGTGTTCTTTTTTCTCTACATCCTTGCCAGCATTCATTATTTCCTCTCTTTTGGATAAAGCCATTTAACTGGAGTGAGATAATAGTCCGCTGTAGTTTTGATTTGCATTTCTCTGATGATCAGTGATGTTGAGCATTTCTTCATATACCTGTTTGTCACTTGCATGTCTTCATTTGGAAAATGCCTATACAGACTTTTGCCCATTTTTAAATCATATTATTAGATTTCTTTCCTATAGATTTGTTTGAGCCCCTTATATAATGTGGTTCTTAATCTCTTGTCAGATGGATAGTTTGCAAATATTTTCTCCCATTCTGTTATTAACATTTTATTATTGCCGGGCGCGGTGGCTCACGCCTGTAATCCCAGCACTTTGGGAGGCCGAGGCGGGCGGATCACGAGGTCAGGAGATCGAGACCATCCCGGCTAAAATGGTGAAACCCCGTCTCTACTAAAAATACAAAAAATTAGCCGGGCATAGTGGCGGGCGCCTGTAGTCCCAGCTACTTGGGAGGCTGAGGCAGGAGAATGGCGTGAACCCGGGAGGCGGAGCTTGCAGTGAGCCGAGATCACGCCACTGCACTCCAGCCTGGGCGACAGAGCGAGACTCCGTCTCAAAAAAAAAAAAAAAAAAAAACATTTTATTATTATGTATAAAAATGAACTGTCATATGTTGTACATTATATATTCTATATAAACTATATTTCATGTATATATTATGAATAATATAAAAATATATAGTCATCTGCATTCCAAAATAAAAGAATCTTTAAGGTTAACTTGGTAAAAAGGTATAAGGTAAATTTTAAGTTATATCGTAACAAAATTTCATAATAGCCTTGAAGAATATTCTAGGAAATACAATTTGAAAGAAGGAGTTTAAGTATTCAGGGCATTTACTCTTGTCAATTAAAAAATATAAAATATATTATATTAACAGTTAGAAATATTTCTATATGTTATTGTCACCAGTTAATGTAACTGTTAAAACTTTAGTTTGCAAGTAAATATGGATTACACATTTCTTGAAATTTTCACAATTTACTAATTTTTGTCATATTCTAGTGGATCTGCTGCCTAATTTGTGAAAGTTTACACAACCTTTCTACGTGAAGAATATTGCAACTTTAAAAACAGCATGAAAAATTTTGTTACATTAGGATGCAAAAAGGTGAGTAATTTGTCTTAGGGAATAAGATAGTGAAGTCATATATGATTATATTAATACTAATTTTATATGTTAAAATTTTCAGCTAGATGTATGCTAAACTAATTCATCATTTTCATTGATAACTTGACAATTTATTATGCAACATTGAATAATTTGTTTATTAGTCAATGGTCATAGTTTAGAAATACAGGTGGTCATAGTTTAGAAATACAGGTTGAGCATCTCTTATCTGAAATTCTTGGGACCAGAAAAATTTTGGATTTTGGATTTTGGATTCTTTCTATTTTGGAATATTTGCATATACATAACGAATATCTTGGGGATGGAACTCAAGCTGAAACATGAAATTTGTTTTATATACACATTGTACACATAGCCTGAAGGTAATTTTATGCAATATTTTAACTAATTTTGTGCATGAAACAAAGTTTTGACTGCATTTTGATGATGACCTGTCATATGAAGTTAGGTGTGGAATTTTCCACTCGCAGCATTATGTTGGTGCTGAAAATGTTTCAGATTTTGGAGCATTTCAGATTTTCAGATAAGGGAATGTCCAACCTGTAAATACAAATTGGTGATAATTTTTTACCTAAAAATCCCATCAAAATCAGTAAACTATGCAACTATAACTTGGAATGTTCTGGCAAAAGTATCTGAGGTCTAAGCCATATCAAATAAATAGATAAATAATTTGATTTTTTTAAATCTCAAATTTTAAATAGACTCTAAGAAATACCTAGTAGGCATTTTTCAGATTGCCATGAGTTCAACATGCCTAAACGCATCAGAATTTGAATGTCAGCATGAAATAAATGTTGATATTCCTTGAGGTTTGGGGATGAGTACCATTATGCCCATATTGACTGTGATGTATATTTGACTTACGTCTGTGTGTGTGTGTGTGTGTGTGTGTGTGTGTGTGTGTTTGTATTCAAACATATGTGATTTTTTTGGGCACGAAGATTTGTTATGCCAATTTACAGCCCTGAGTATTCATTGTACTGCTAAACCAGCCAGTTTTTTAGATTATCCTGAGAACTTCATCAGAGTCCGAGGGGTAGTAAGAAGAGAGCAAAATTTTTTGGTGTCTAGTCTCTTTATTTTGAGGACAAGTGTAAGGGAAATTTGCTAAACCTTTGTTATTGAATCTTTGTCAAAAAAAGTTAATAATATTATTTTAGCTTACTATGAGAATCAAAGTAGATAATGTATTTTTAGTGGGGTTTGTGTGCAAAATATTCTAAAAATGCCATAGGTTAAAGCATTCATGAGTATTTTTTATAATTGAATGTATCTAATTATTTTTCGTGCTATCTGTATTTTCAGGTTGTTCTATTTCTTGTTAGAATACTCCTTAAACTTACTAAAGCTACATAAAACAATTGTTCTAAAATTGCTTCTTCAGTTTCTTTTTTGAATCATAGATCATTGGTCAGAAATCTTCAGGCAATGTCTATAGTGACTATTTCATGAAATATACAAAATAACCCTCTAGATCTATTTTATTGGAAATATATTTATATTTTCTATAAATCTAAGTACAATGTCAATATAAAATATGATTATCTACTAAATAAACCAATCAGAACCTAAAATAAAAGTAAATACTGTCCTAACAATAAACTTTTTGGCAGATCATACACTTTCTGTAATAAGGCTTTTGCTCAGAACACATTGAAAGCCCTATTTTTTTTTTTTTGGATGTGGTTTTATATATTATCTGTAGCCTTGTCATGCTATAGTTACAGTGTATTTTTGACTCAGAAGAGAATCAGTTAGCCTGGTTATTACATTTATTTACCAAGATTAAATGACATTTCACTGTTTAAAATGAATTTAATTCACACTCAAATATACATTTGTTATCAATGAAAATGTTTTAAAGAATGTACAACTAACTCTAAGAGGAATCTCCAAAGAAAATTTCCAAAAAGATTTCTTTGAACAGTGGCACACATTTGAAAGGCCTTGAGAGCCCAGATAAACAGATGAGTTGGCACAATGGAAAGTTTAACAGTAACTTTAAGTAATTCTTCAGTATTTATTTAGAGATGGTATTGGCACTTCATGGGAAAGTTCTCCTCTTTTCCTCATCTCAGCACTGTTTGTCTATTTAGCAAAAGAAAGTTTCATGGTAAACAGAACCAGCCCTCCTTAGATGACAGCTGGTGACCATTCATTGGACAAGATCATGGATTCTGTAACATGTCAACATCCTCCATTCAATCACAAGAGATTTATTCTTCCCAACTGAAACAAACATATTAGGGCTTCTGGTAAACACAATTTTCTCCATCCTGTTATATTTCCTGGAAAGTTTCAGTATCTCTTATGTTTTGTTCTCAGGTTGACATGTTGTTTGTGTAGCTGTTTAGATATATGAATTCTGATGTGCTACATACAATTGATCATACTACTTTCTTTTTTATGGTCACAGTTTACACCTCCAAAAAGAGTTAACTTATGTTAACTCAGAGGTAGTTAAGGAGATATTCAAAGTGGTGAATATGCCCTTTCTTCCTTTGGAAGTAGACGCCATTCTCTGCTCTTCCATGTTACCCATAGAGCAGCCTCGGATGGAAATGAGATGAACTAGAAACTGACAAGGTTGACCTAAGGAACAATGGCTTTGATTTAGTTAAGTAGCTAAGTAGATCCCAAAGACGTATCAGCTAAATGATCCACTTCCTTTATGACTATGCATCTTTACTAAAATATATTTTTAAATGATAGTTTATATTACTACAGAAAAATGATGTGTCCCCTAAAATGTAACTTTTATGACAGCATGCACGTTGAGAGTCAGTAATGATTTGTTGAATGAAAGCAAATGTGAGCCCAAAGGAATCTGGGTATAATTGATCTGATCATGAGATTATGCTTTAAAGCGGATGAGTAAGAAGTAATAATCTAACACATAATGTGCTTAGTCAGATGAATCTGTTTTTCAAAGTAAAGATAAAAGGAAGAAATTTGAGCATGGTTTATGGGAAAAATATTTAACAAGCCATTAAACTATCAATTATCCTAAGAAATAGTTGAAACAAGTATGACTATGATTAAGTTATTTTTGTTACTAATATCAGAATATCATATTTGAAAAAGAATATGTTATAAAAGCTTAAAATCTTCCCATTTCAAAACTTTACTCATTACATCCAATCAAAAATCACAGCCAAAAAAAATTGTACTGTGTCCTTCAAATTAATCACCGAAGTTTCTGATTATTTCATAAACTCCTATCTTGTCAATAACAAGTTTCTTGACATTAAATCATGTGGGTGCTTGTAAAATTGTTTTACAAATATTAAGAAGATTAAATAAAAAATGAATCAAGAAACATAATTTGCTAGAATGTTCTTCATGTACACAATCAAGTAGGAATATTTTGTAGCCTTTATACGGATGTTGTCTATTAGAAATAAATTATATAATCATGCTGCTAGATAGATAGGCAATAATGAATTAGATTGCTAAGATATGTAATTGGGCTCTTGGAATGCATGTTTGATTGCCCTGAAAAAGTGCACAAAATAATTTCCCTTAATTGCTTTTATTTCATTTCTTGTCAAACCTAAGTTAGGGTGTTGCTTTAAGGTAAGAAACTACTTACTTTTTGTAGGAAAATAATCTCACCAATTTGGAGGTTGTACCAATCTTGCCTTGCAAGTTGTACCTATGAGAGTTTCAGTCCAAACCTCAAGACAAGTATGCATAACTCAGGTTTCAAACATTACTTATTAGGACCAGTCAGTGGCTTCTTCATTTCTTACCCACTAGAGGCAAAACTAGGGTTTGAAGGTGTATCCATCTTTAAAGAATATAAGCACTCTAAACCTATCGTCTGGCAAAGGGCATTTGGAAATGCTAAAAGGTGAAAACAGTTGTCCCCAATCTCCTGACTTTGGAAAACATGTTGAAATTCGAAGTTACATAATAAGAATCCATCACCCTTTAATTTGGCAGCAAAGATTCCTTTGCTGTGCGAGTTAGCAGATAGCTGAGAAATACTAAAACTTCATTAACTAAATAAGCACAGATAAGTGTTATTTGATTCTGTAATGTTGGAAGTGAAATAACAATGCTTGTTATAGATCTGAAGTTAATTTGTTATGATCAAAACCAAGGATTTGCTAAAAAGGTTACTTTTAGCTACAAGTTCTAAACCTTTAATATCCAATACATACAAGTATATTAGAGTAAACTAAGAAACTTTATAAAAAGAATAAGGGATAATGATTGGGGAAATGTACCTTTTAAATCAGTAGTTTTAATCAATTATCAATATTCTGTTATAGGTAAAATATATTCTCTTTCCTGAAGAGATGACAGAATTTTTACAATTAGGCTACAGTGCAATCATTTTTGTGCTCAGTATGGACTTTAAACACATCACTCATCCATTACCTTTCTATCCCATTGTTCTTCTAAGACATTGACCATATGATGCTTTTCAAATTGTCATCATCTACAATGTTGAGATCTGCCAAACAGCAAATCAACCTTTATAATTAAAGTTGACAAGCTGACAAGAAAAATGAGTGTATACTTGCATATATATATAAATTTTTATGTCACATTGCCGTCTGTGCACTTGTTTGCTTTTTGTCAATAGCCGAAGGCTCGTTTCTCTGCACCAGAAGCGTGTTATATTCCAAGGTCCTCAGACAGCTCCCCTTCGCCCTAGTGAGTCTGTTGATTAATTTTGGATACTCTTCTTAATTAACACCCCAAAGGATGTCTAGATTATCTAGCCTATAGTCCATGAAAAACAAGTGAATCTGAAGAATAATAACCCAGGGAGACAAGCATGCACTCTTCAAATGATGTTATAAGAACATCGAGTCTCTCTCAAGTCAAGATTGTGTCAGGCAATGCCTAGGGAAGATGCAGGCCTTTAATCGGGGCAAAAATAGAAATTCGTGTTAGTCTAATTTAATTTTCTTTTTGACAAGGAGAGGAGTGATAGATGCCCCTTGACAGATGAAACATGGCGCCTCAATGTAGCCATGGTTGCCATTGGCCTTGATTAGTAACTGGTCCCATTTTGACCTCCAGGCAGAAGAGTTGATGAATGAGAGAAATGAGTGAAGTAATTAGAACAGTAAGATCAAGTATGAAACTAGCCATTTGTATCCAAATCTGTGAAACCTAATAATGGAACCAAGAAACACTAAGCTCATGGCAGCTTCCATAAATATGTCTAAAGACTGGAATCCTTTATATGTGAGGGTCACAATTAATCAACTCTGACAATACTAGTTTCACAAACAAATTTGAGTTCATGTTTTTAAATTACCTTTTCTAAGGAGCAATTTTATAAAAATTTTTTGTTAAACCAACTGTTGCATCTATCAAAGATGCTAGGACCCACAATCTTTTAATTTCTGGGCCATCAAGAACAAGTTAAAAAAAATCCATCATGACTTTTCTAGCAACAAAGCTAGAAAATCAAGCTGACCTAGATACCTAGTAAAAATCATCTCAAATAAATAGTATGATAACTAAAATTTTCACTGACTACCATTCTAGACCACCTGACTTTGCATAGTGTAGTTAGGGAGCGTTTTTGAAGCTGAGTCATCTAATTGCTACTGTTGTGCTGGTTGAACTCAGCACTGAGAAGCTCCACATTTAGAAAAGCATATGCCATCCTATCTGTTCCTTTTCAAAAGAGAAAAAATATCTTCATGTTGATACTATATATTCCATTTTTACTCGTACTAACAAAATGCTGAAGTTGTTTTCTCCTCATCATTTGGATGTTTAAAACCTCTAACCTGCAAAAGTCTGTTAAGTAGTCTATTTTTAACACTTTGCCTTGATGAAATATGGATGCATTTTATTGCATTTCTTAATCTCAAATAAGAATGAACAGCCAGAACTTAAAGTCACTTTTAAGCATGTTACCATTTCAAGGCAGCAATTTTTTTTTTCAAAAAAGAAGAAAAGTAATTGTAAATATAGTCATTCTTCAATTTGAAATATGAATGCCTACTTTTATTCAATCAGTCAGTTAGGCAGCAAGTAATTACTGAGTGCTTCCTGAATCAAATACTGTAAAAAGTACTATGCCTGCGAAATGAATATAGCAGCTCACAAAATGGCTGCAAACTTCCCCTGTTCCTGTATGTACACCTTGCAAGTTGATGTTGCCACTTTTCTCATAAAATGGTGCAGTCAGTGTATTTCTCCACCCATTAAATCTAGGCTCAGCTATGTTACTTGCTTTGGCCAATAGACCATTAGAAAGCATGAAGGAAACTGAGCCTTGAAAAGCATTTCAACATTAGTGCTTATGGAGGGAAAGTCTGGAACACCAAAGTTTGGGTGATGACAGAGGAAAGAATCCAGCGAAACAGACTGATAAAATGAGCTGTCAATCATCCTGTTTTATTTATAAAGATATTACACTAATATGAAAAATATCTGGTATAAATATGTGGATGCTATGACATCACTATACAGAGATGCAATTAAATTATTAATAAGCAATTATTGATAAACATACTAGAATACTAATCCAAATTTTGAACCTCCTTTTAGGTTTTCACCTATTAAGTGCGTACTTATACTCCCATATTACTACCAAAAGTTATTTTGAGACTACATTTGGTAATATTGCTGTATTCATTGAATAATCCACGCAGGGAAATGTATCACATTATTGAAGCTACTGGTTTCAACTGAAATGGTATATCCAAATTTATCTTTTTCAGGGCGTGGTGGCTTATGCCTGTAATCCCAGCATTTTTGGAGGCTGAGGCAGGAGGATCATCTGAGGTCAGGAGTTTGATACCACCGTGGCCAACATGGTGAATCCCTGTTTCTACTAAAAATACAAAAAATTAGCTGGGTGTGGTGGTGCATGCCTGTAGTTGCCTGATTGAGTATCCCAACACCTAACACACACATGTGCACATGCACACACACACCCATGGCAAGTGAGAGAGAGAGAACCATTTAACAATGACTGAAGATTAATTGGTCTCAGGAATTTAAAATAACTTCTGTACAGCCATTAGCTGGCTACTGAAATAACTGAGCAGAGACATCAGTGGCCACAAATGACAAATAACACAGACTTTAAAAAATTAGTTCAGAAAACTTAATAAGCAGAAAACTACAACAGGCCGAGCGTGGTGGCTCACACCTATAATCCCAGCACTTTGGGGAGGCTGAGGTGGTCAGATGAAAAGGTCAGGAGATCGAGAACATCTTGGCCAACATGGTGAAACCCCGTCTCTACTGAAAATAGAAAAATTAGCAGGACGTGGTGGCAGGTGCCTGTAGTCCCAGCTACTCTGGAGGCTGAGGCAGGAGAAACACTTGAACCCGGGAGGCAGAGGTTGCAGTGAACTGAGGTTGCACCACTGCACTCCAGCCTGGGCAACAAGAGCGAAACTCTGTCTAAATAAATAAATAATTTAAAAACTACAACAAAACAAACCCTGGAGAGGGGAAAAATCTGATTTTTAGAGTTACTACATTATATTACTTAAAATGTGTTTAAAAAAACAAAAAAAAAATGAAAAGAAATAAAGTTTGGCACATAAAACTGTGGCACATATGCAAGAAAAAAATCAGTCAATAGAAACTCTTTTGGGAAGTCCAGATGTTGGAGTTCTGGTACAAATATTTTAAATCCGTTATTTAGAATATGTTCAAACAACTAAAAGAAACCATTTCTAAAGAACTAAAGAAAATTATGAAAGCAATGTCTTATCATGTTAAAATATCAATGAAAATATATAAATTATTTATTCAAAAGAACCAAATGGAAATTCTGGAAATGAAAAAGAAAATAAATAAATCATGAGAAGAGCTCATAGCAGATTTGAGCAGCCCAAAGGAAAAAAATAAGTGAACTTGAAAGAGTTCGAATGAGATTATCTAGTCTGAGAAACAGAAATATAAAAGAATAGAAAAATGAACAGAGCCTCAGAGACATGTATGACAAGTTTAATTGATCATTATATACAAGAACTCCTCTGTAAGATTATGAATGGATTTCTCATCAGAAATCATGAATGCAAGAAGGCAGTGGGAAGACATATTCAAAGGCTGAAAGAAAAAGAGCATTAACCAAGAACATTGCAGCCAGCACAACTGTCCTTCAATTATAAAAGATAAATTAAGACATTTCTAAATAAACAAAAAATTGAGATAATTTGTCAGTTAGCAAATATCTCTATGTTATATGATTCCATGTATAAAAATGCCCAGTAGAGGAAAATTCATATATACAGAAATTCAATTGTTAGTTGTTTTGATGAGTGGAAGGGCTGCTAAGAAGTGGAAATGGGGAGTGGCTTCTAATGAGTATGGATATTTTTGCAGAGAGTGAGTGTGATAAATATAGTAAAAATTACTAAATCATACACTTTAAAAGTGAATTTATAGCATATGAATTACATCCAGATAAGAGAATAAATAATATAAATAAAAAAATAACAGAAATTAGGAAAGCCTTCAATGGATGCTCATTGATAGACATAAAGCAGCCAAAGAAATAATCAGTGAACTTGAAAGAAATAAACTGAAACTTCTCAAACTGAAATACTAAAGGGAAAAAAAGAGTGAGAAACATTTTTAAAAACTAAAGACAGATCAACAATATAAAATGATGTAGCATATACTTTTTTGGCATAGCAAAAGGAGAAGAAAAGAGAATAGATAGAAGAAATAGTTGAAATAGTAGTGACTAAAACTTTCCAGAATTAATGGCAAACTCCAAATCAGTTTCCAAAAGCTTAAAAACATCAAGCAAGATAAAACAGAAAAAAATGCACACACACAAACAAAAAATACCTTGCAGTATATAAGATCAATATACATAAGCCAATAAATTTTCCTAAATATAGCAATAAATAATTAGAATTTGAAATGGTAAAAATTACCATTTAAAGTAGCACCTCAAAACTGAAGTGCTTAGGTAAAAATCTTATCTAACAAAATATGCAAAGAATCTGTATGTAGAAAATTATAAAACACTTCTGAAAAAAATAAGGAACTAAATAAATGGAAGAGATATTTCATGTTCATGGATTCAATTCTTTCTAAATTATCTACAATGGAATCTCGACAAAAATCGTAGCTTTTTTTTAAATTTGACAACCTGAATTTAATATGTGTATGGAAAGGCAAAGGTACCAGAATAACCAAAAAAGCCTAAAGGAAAAGCAAAAATTATAGAACTCATATAACCCAATTTCAAGACTTACTGTAAACTACAGTTATGGAGTAGGCATGGTATTGGCCAAAGAAGAGATACATAGGTAAATTGAACAGAGCCCAGAAATAGACCAACACAGATACAGCCAACTTATTTCTGACAAACGATGCTGGAATAATTGGACGTTCATGTGAAATGGTGCTGACATAATTCATTACCCAAAATGAGCCCAAAATGGATTGTAGACCTAAGTGTAAATAAAACACAAAACTATAAAACTACCAGAGGATAACACAGGAGAAACTGAAACCTTGGGCTTTGTGATAAGTTTTGGCTACAAAACCAGCAATTCTTGAAGGAAAAAAATAAGTTTAACTTTCTTAAAAGAAAAAAAAATTATGTGAAAGACACTGTAAAGAGGCCACATTTCTGATAAAGGACTCATATCCAGAGTATATAAGGAGCTCTCAAAACTCAACAGTAAGAAAATAACTCAATTAAAAAATGGGGAAAATATCTGAACAGGTAAATCATCAAAGAAGATATGGAGATAGCAAATGAACATATGCAAAGATGTTTACATCACTTGTCACTAGGGAAATACAAATTAAAACATCAGTCGGATGCTACTAAACACTTACTAGAATGGAGAAGGGTTTGACTAGATGAAGCATATGGGGTTACTTTAGGGCTGTGCACTATTTTATATGTTACCTAGTAATGAATACATGATATATCCCTTTGTCAAAGCCCATAGACTTTTGCAACACAAATATTAAGATTATGTATAGAATGTTTATATATATAAGGTTTACATATATAATGTTTATGTATGTGTGTGTGCGTATAAAGGTAACTGATGCAAGGATTGATGTAGACTGTGGAAAAAGAATCTAACTCTATTTAAATACATGTCATAATTCACCATGGAATAGGAAAAACTAGGTGCTGACCCAATTAACTTAGGAAATGATTAGAAACTCTAAGACTAAAGGAAAAGACCTGTACATAAGCACTATACTGTAGTTAATAAAGCGTATCTCACAGGGGTCAGGCTAACAATTCTGAAACTGCTGTGCATCTATACTAGGACTGGACAAGTAAGTAAATAGATGGCTGATGATGGGAGGCAGGTTTCTCACTGTTGGAGTGGGAGGCTACAATTACAGAGGGAAGGCCAGGAAGTGCCATGTGGTACTCAGTGAGAGTCACAGACATCAGTATAAACTCCCACTTAGCATTATAGAAATACTATGGATAGAGAAATATGTGCACAAATGGATTAGTATAAATACACATTTTTCCTAGTGCTGTCCACTGAGATGGTCTAGAATCAATCACACTGCAGTAACAAAGAACAAACCCAGCTCTCACATTGTGGTTTTTAATGCTCTTTCCCAGTAAACGTAACCAGGGGTCCCTGGAGAAATGGCTAATTATAGGACTGGAATGTGGAATATAAAAAATGAGCCTTTAATATTTGTAGTGTAAGAAAGTAAGAAAGTGCTAAAAAAAAGAATGAGGTTATGTCAAAGGGACTGAGGAGCCAAACTGACAGAGCTCTCAATGGTCAAATTTGGAAAAATTTGAGCAACAAAAGAAATAATACAATATTGGATTTAAATCAAACATAAAACAAATAGCCACAATTTCATACTGATATTAATAAATAATTGAATAAGTCAATTAACAGGAAAGAAGAAAACATTTACATACAGAAGAACTGCAAAAAATAATGTAGATACTCCCCACTAAATTAGGTGAGAAATAATACCCCATCCTTAATTGCGGGTCTTGCTGACTTGCTTTCCTGTTCGGTACAGAAAGAATGAGAAAAGTAATTTTGCAGTGGAGAGACTTGGCAAGCATTGCCTCAGCTAGGTGGTGGAGGCATCCCTAATCAGTGATACGTCTTGTTGATAGCATGTCCCCTTTGTATAATGTACTGTGATCCCTCTCCAAAACTCATAACCCCAGTCTAACCATGAGAAAAATATCAGACAAACCCAAACCGAAGAACATTCTACAAAATAGCTAACCAGTACTCCTTAACACTGTCAAGGTCATCATCAATAACGAGGAAAATCTGAAAAACTATCACAGCCCAGAGGGAGGCTATGGAGACATGATGACTAAATGTAATGCCATATCCTGGATGGGATCCTGGAACAGAAAAAGGACATTCGAGAAACTAATGAAATCTGAATAAAGTATGGAATTTACCTAATTACAACATATCAATATTGGTTCATTAGCTGTGACAAATGTACACATTTGGGGAAAAAATTAGTTTTGCCTGTGAAAAAAGAGAAGTTTTCACAAAGGAAGTGACATTTGACCAGAGTATTGAACAAGAGGACTTCACCTAGCAGGCAAGTATTAGAAGAAACCCACAGGAGATGGAATAAGATAAACAGAGACTGAGAGGCAGCAGAAAAGAAACTGTGTCTTTGGGAAACGGACAGTAGTTTGGTTTGGCTGAGATGTGTGGTGCATAATAAGGAGTTAGAGGAGAAAGGAAAGGTGAGTTGGAAGAAGAACCCAAGAGGAAGAGGAGTCACATATTAAACACTCAGGCTTTATACTTGATCCTGGAGGTAGTGGATGTACATGTTGATTTTTAAGCAAGGAAGTAAAACTATATTTTTAGCCAAGCAAAACTAGCAGGGTAGGAAATTTCTAAGTAGACAATGATTACTCCTCTAGATTATCACTCTTCTTTCACCTCATTCTCATTCTTTTATTTTCACTTTCCCACAGTAGCTCAGTGCTGATCCTCATCCCAACCCAGCAAATCTGTCCCCTACACCTGCTAGAAGAGGGAAGATTCTTTATGATCTTGTTCAGTTTTTTTCACCAAAATTACCTATTTTGTGTTCCTTTCTCAAGATATCCATACTTACTAAGGTAATGAATTAATGAAATAAACACATTCAACATCAAAGTATTCATTGAATACCTAGAATATGTCTTACAGATAAGCCAATACTGAGAGATAAGGTAGTTCTGTACATCAGTCATAAAAATATCATGCTTTCAAAGCATATCTCATTTAACACATTTTAAAATGGATTTTGTATTCCCATTTCACAGGTGAAAAAGTAAAAATTTAGACAAGTTCACAGATTTTCCTGTGATGATAGAGTCAGATAAGGAAGTTCCTTGACGTAAAATCCAATTCCTGAGTACAAATCTTGTGTTTACTCAAAAAGGTGCCACGGCCAGGCGTGGTGGCTCACTCCTGTAATCCCGGCACTTTGGGAGGCCAAAGCAGGCGAATAATGAGGTCAGGAGTTTGAGACCAGCCTGGCCAACATGGTGAAACCCCATCTCTACTAAAAACACAAAAATTTATCTAGGCATAGTGGCAGGCGTCTGTAATCCCAGCTACTTGGGAGGCTGAGGCAGGAGAATTGCTTGAACCCTGGAGGTGGAGGTTGCAGCGAGCCGAGATTGAGCCACTGCACCCCAGCCTGGGCGACAGAGTGAGACTCCATCTCAAAAAAAAAAAAAATGTCGTGACTGAAAACTTATTTACAGGTTAAATTAGTGTGGAAAATGAAGGGCAGCTAACCCTGCAAATGCATAGGAGAAATCTCTCAGAAATAAATTTAAACCAGTGCATTATGGTCCTGTTAAGAAATAGTATATGAATAAAATGATCTATTCCTTAAGTATGTATGGAAAAGGAGGAAGAGAAAGGAGGAAAAGGGGAAGGAAAAAAAAAGAAATGCAAGGTCATGAAATTCTAGCATGTTGTCATTTATTTGGAAGCAAACTGCCCATATTTAAAGTGTACAATTGGTGAGTTTTAACATGTGCCTATACCCATTAAACCATTACTACAATCAAGATAGTCATTACGTCTCTCACCAAAAGTTTCTTTGTGACTCCTGGTGCCTACCTATCCCTCCTCCCCAGGATACCACAGATCTGCTTTCTGTCACCACAGATTGACCCGCAATTTCTAGAATTTTTTAAATAAGTGAAATCCTACACTGTGCACATTTTTGTCTGACTTCTTTCACACAGCATGATTATTTTGAGATCCATCCAGGTTGTACGCATCAATAGTTCACTTTTTTTACTTCTAAGAAGTAGTCAAGCAATATATGTATAGACACATGACAATTTGTTTATGCATTTGTCTGTTGGTACACAATTGGGTTGTTTCCAGTTTTTCTATATTGCAAATAAAGCTATTATTTATAAATGTTCTTCATAAAGAATATTCATGTATAAGTCTTCAAGTAGACATATGCTTTTATTTCTCTTAGGTAAATACCCAGGAATGGAGTGGCTTAATCGTATGGTAAAAATATTGCTTGTATGGTATATCAATAAACACATACTTTATAAGAAACTGTAATCCAGCTTTTTAATGATTATGCCCCTTTTTATTCCTATCAGCAGTATATATGAGAATCCCAGTTCCTCCACACTTTCTATGATTAATCTTTTTAATCTTAGGTATTCTAATAGAATGTGCAATGGGATCTCCTTGTGGTTATAATTTGCATTTCCCTAAGGAATAATGATGTTGAGCATCTTTTTATTTGCTTTTATACCATCCATACACCTTTGGGAAAGTATCTATTCAATATTTTTCCCCCTTTCAAAAAACCGGGCTGTTATAGAATCGTGAAAGGTCTTTACATTTTCCAGATAAAATTCCTTGCTATACATGTATTTTGCAAATACTTTCTTCCAGTCTGTAACTTTCCTTTTATTTTGGTGAGTCCCATATTAAGACATATTTTTATATTTGGGCTTCTTGAATCATGAGTAAGAAATCTTTGCTAATCTCAAAATCACTAAGATTTGTACCCTTGTTATCTTCTAGGGGTTTTATAAATTTAGCTTTTACATTAAAGTACATCATAAATTTAGAGTTAATTTCTATATATGGCATTCAATCCAGCAAAATTTTCATTTATTTTTTAATTATAAAAATCTCTTTTTTATTTTCATTTTATAGCTTTTTCAGATTTTTTTTTAAATTATCCCTAAGTATTTAACGTATTTTCATGCTATTGGTGGTGGTATGAAACATTTTTTAACATTTCATTTTGAAATAACTGTAGGCTCACGTATAGTTGTGACAAATAATACAAATGACCTCATAACATCCTGCAAAGCCATAATACAGTATCACAACCAGAATGCTGATATTGATGCTTTTAGGATACAGAACAATTCCATCATCACAAGGCTTATTCTTCTTGTTCTCATACAGCTGCAGCTACTGCTCTACCATACTGCCTCACCATTTCCCAGCAACCATCTCCATTTTATATTTTGATCATTTCAAGAATGTTATGTAAATGGAATTATATAGTATGTAACTTCATAGGACTGCCATTTTTCTCTCAGCATAATTTTCTGGAGATATATTTGCTTGTTGCATGTATCAATTTTATCACTGAGTGTGTGCCATGGTATAGATGTACCACAGTTTGTTTAACCATTTACCCATCGAATGACATCTGTGCTCTTTCTATTCTTTTGTTTTAAAAATAAAGCAAACATAAACATAAATGGACATGTTTTTGTGTGAACACAACTTGTCATTTCTCTGGGATAAATTGTCAAATGTGCAATTATAGGGCTTTATGGTAGTTGTGTGTTTACATTTATAAGAAATTGCCAAATATTTTCAATAGTAGCTGTATCATTAAATTCTTATTGACAATTGTCTAGTTTCTCCACATACACCAAGCCATTTGGTGATGTCTGTATTTATTTTATGTTAGCTATTCTGATAGGTATGTAATGATATCTCACTGTGGTTTTAATTTGCTTTTCTCCAATGGCTAATTATCTTAAATAGCAATGTCTTTTCAGGCTTTTTGCCCATTTTCTAATTCAACTTATCAATATGGCCTTTATGGATCTTGATTTTACTGTCCAGCCTTTGACTCACCCTAGACCTAAGATATTCTCTGCTGCTTTTATTGAAAACTTTTATGATTTTGTGATTTATATTAAAATATTTGGTATATTTTGTGTCAATTTTGATATAAAGTATGAGATTCAGACTGAGGTAAATTTTTTAAAAAACTATGAATGTCTAGCTTTCTAATGCCATTTATTGAATGACTATTCTAACTTCATTGAATTATTTTGGTACCTTTATTAAAAAATTAGTGAGAAATATGTAATGGGTCTATTTCTGGGCTACACATTCTGTTTATTTGACTTACATGTCAATCTTTTCACTAATACCACACAGTCTTGATTACTGTGATATAAAATATCTTAAAATTAAGTGAACTGATGCCTCACACTTTTTTTTTTCAAAATTGATTTAGCTAGTCTAGCTCCTTTGCTTTTCAATGATCCTTATTGACAACTGTCTAGTTTCTCCACATACTTCAAGCCATTTGGTGATGTCTGTATTTATTTTATGTTAGCTATTCTGATAGGTATGTAATGATATCTCACTGTGGTTTTAATTTGCATTTCTCTAATGGCTAATCATGTTAAATATGTTAAATTTACATGTGTTACATGTGTTAAATTTATACAAATTTGTAAATTTTCTTAAAACATTATTAGCTTTTTTGCAATGCTTTTTTTCTTTTTTAGTTCATCAGCTATCGTTAGTGTTAGTGTGTTTTATGTGTGGCCTGAGATAATTCTTCTTCTTCCAATGTGGCTCAGGGAAGCCAAAAGATTGGACACCCATGATCTAAGTGATGAAATATATATGCCAAAAAAGGTTTCATAGTACAGTTATATGTGCCGCATACTGCTGTTTTGATCAATGACAAACCGCATACATGAGAACTGTCCCAGAATATTATAATAAAGCTGAAAAATGTCTACTATTTAGTGATGTTGTAGCCATCATAACATCGCAGTGCAATGCATTACTCATGGATGTGTGGTGATGCTAGAGTTAACAAATCTGCTGTGCTGCCAGTCATATAAAAGTCTAACACATACAATTATGTATAGTACATAATACTTGATAATAAATAATAATTAATAATAAATAACAAAAATGACTAGGTTAGTGGTTTCTGTATTTACCATACTATATATTTTTTGTTATTTTAGAGTATACTCCTATTTATTTGCAAAAAAAGCTAAGTGTAAAACAGGCAGGTTCTTCAGGGGGTATTCCTGAAGTAGGCGTTGTTATCATAGGAGATGACAGTTCCTTGGGTGATATTGCCCCTGAAGACCCTTTAATGGGACAAGATGTGGAGGTGGAAGACAGTGATATTGAGGATCTTGACCTTGTGTAGGCCTAGGCTGATGTGTATGCTTGGGTCTTCGTTTTTAAGTTTCAAAATAAAAGCATTGAAATAGATAAAAGCTCATAGTATAAGGATATAAAGCAAGAAAATATTTTTGCACAGCTGTACAAAGTGTTTTTTAAGCTAAGTCTTTTTACAACACAGTCAAAAAGTTTTCAAAATATTTAAAGTTTTAAAAGTACAAAAGTTACAGTAAGCTAAGGTTAATTTATTATTGAAAAAGAAAAATTTTCTTTTTATAAATTTAATGTAGCTTAAGTGTACTATTCAGTGTTTATAAACTCTACAGCAGCGTACAGTAATGTCCTAGGCCTTCACTTTCTCTATCTGTATTTTTTCTTATACATATGTACCTATGACAAAGTTTAATTTGTAAACTAGACCCACATTAACAAAAATAACTAGCCATAAAATAGAACAATTATTATAATATACTGTCATAAAACTCATGAGAGTGTGCTTTCACTCTGTCTCTCTCTCAGAATATCTTATTGTACTGTACTGAGGGTAACTGACACTGTGGATGGCAAAACTGCAAATAAGTGGGGACTACTGTATTCATTTAGGTTTGTCAGGTTTTTCGGTGGACTGACTTTTATCAGTAAGTAATGCCTCTCTCTGTCTCTTGTATTTTCTTTGCTCTGAAGTTTACTTTCTCTGACATTGATATAAACACTTTTTAAAGAATTAATGTTTCTGTCCTTTTATTTTCAATCTATCTATATCATTATTTTCTAACTGAATGTCTTATAGACAGCATATAATTAATTTGTTTCAATTTACTCTGCCAAATTATTTGAATTGATATAATTAGATCATTTACATTTAATGTGATTTTTGATATGTTAAGATTTAAACCTTTTGTTTGTTTGTTCTTTCGGGTATTTTTTTTCTCCATTTTATTTTTCTGCCTTCCTGTAGGTTACTTGAACTTTTCTTAGAATATTGCTTTGATTTACCTTTAATAGTTTTTGCTGTGCCTCTTTTTTGTTGTCATTGTTTTTGTTTTGTATCATTTTGTTTTTTTGAGACGGAGTATCACTCTATAGCCCAGGCTGGAGTACAGTGGTATGATCTCGGCTCAGTGCAACCTCCGCCTTCAACGTCCAAGCAATTCTCCTGCCTCAGCCTCTGCAGTAGCTGGGATTACAGGCATATGCCACCATGCCTGGCTAATTTTTTTTGTCTTTTTTTTTTTTTTAGTAGACACAGGGTTTCACCATATTGGACAGGCTGGTCTCAAACTACTGATCTCAAGTGATCCACCCACCTGGGCCTCCCAAAGTGCTGGGATTACAGGCTTGAGCCACCAGGCACGGCCTCTGTGCCTCTTTATATAGTTTTTTTAGTGGTTTTACTATATTACATTCAATTATTTATACTTTAAATTATTTAAACATAACATATAACAATCTACTGGTGTCAACAATGATCTCTTTGGTATATAGAAAGTTTACATTTGCATCTATTTACCTTCCTCTGTTTAGGATTATCTTCAATATTTCCTGTATATGCATTTAGAATCACATCAGGCAGTGTTATAATTTTTGCTTTAAATGGCAAAAATAGTATAGAAAATTCAAGAGGAGAGATAAAATGTGTTGTATTTTTTCATATTTATACTATTTCTGGCTTTTCTTCTTTCTTGCTGATGATCAAAGATTCCTTCTTTTTTCATTTCCTTTTTACTTACAGAAGCACCGTTATACATTTTTAAAGGTAGTTTTGCTGATGATAAATTTCTAAGTTTTGCTTTCTCTGAGAGTGCTTTGATTTTCTCTTTATTCCTAAAAGATATTTTCACTGGATAAGAATTCTGAGTTGACGTTTCTTTTCTTTCAACACTTGCAAAAAGTTGTGCCTCTTCCTTCTGGTATCCATGTTTTCTGATGGGAAATCTGCTCTCACTCAAATTATCTCGTCCCAGTAAGCAGAGTTTTGTTTCTCTCTGGCTGTTATCAAAATATTTTTCTTTGTCTTTAGTTTTTCTCAGAATTTTGACAATTATATATAGTGTAAATTTTTGGGGGTTTATTCAGTTTAAATTGCACTCAGCCTCTTGAACCTGTAAGTTTGTCTTTTTCTAAACTTGGAAAATTTCAGGTTTTTTTCTTCAAGCACTCTTTCTAGCCCTGCCCTCTTTTTCTGCTCTTTTGGGACCCTGGTGGCACAAATCTTAGATCTTTCACTATAGTCCCTTTGGTCTCTGGGACTATTTTCAATTGTTTTCTTTTTTTTTAACAGTCTATTGTTTAGATTCCATAATTTTAATTCTTTCATCTTCTAATTCACTGATTCCTTCTTTTGTTCCATTTTTTCTGATGTTGAGCCTATTCAGCAAGAGATGTGTGTGTGTGTGTGTGTGTGTGTGCGTGTTCACATGTGTATCTCTTTTTAAGTTATAAAATTACCATGTAGTTGTTCTTTACATCTTCTGCTTCTTTGCTGGGACATTTTATTTCTTTGTGGAGACTTTTCTTTTTCTTGTTTTAAGAGAAATGATAATTTCTTGTTGAGGGTTTTTTTTTTTTTTAATAATGGCTACCCTAAGTCTTTGTTAGATAATTCTAATATTTCTCAACTCAATGTTGGTATCTATTGTGTTTTGAGTCACATTAAGATATTTCTAGATCTTTTGATTTCAATTAATATTTTATGAAACTTTGGGTTTTATTAAATCTTAAGTTGTAGTAGACTTTTTTTGTCACTTCTCTGGCTGGGGAAAGAGAGGCACCCTCTTGTTACCACAAGGTCTTCGTAAAAATGCAAGTTTCCCACTCTGTCTCCATTGACATCCACAGCCTAGTAGTGCTAGGCAGATGTGAAAATCTTGACTCCCAATTTGGACTCCACTGATGCCACCTCAGCTGGGCATAGCAGGAACACATTATTGCTGCTTTCCATATGGTGTCAGTTTTCATGGTGTTAGTTTCCCCCACCGCAACTAATACCATGAGGATGATGGCTTCATTACTGTTAGGCAGTTATTGAAGTCCTGATTCTCATAGGCCTTCTCTGACACTAGCCAAGTAGGAAAAGGATGGGTTACCTTGCTGCTGGATGTGGGTGGAAGTCTCAATTGACACTGCGGGGTGAGAAGTGTGGTATTTGCATTCACCACTGACAATGATGGTGCTGGAAGTGAGAACTGGTATTATTACCTGGTAGGGATAAAAGTTCTAGAGTGTTCTGTAATGCCAGTTAGGTCAAGCAGATTGATAGTGCTGTTCAAAGCTCTACATCTTTACCGATTTATTTGTTTTGTCAATTGTTGAGCAATATTTAAATCTTCTACTATAATTGTAGATTTTTCTATTTCTCTAATAATTCTATTAGTTCTTGTTTCACATACCTCAGAACTCTCTTAGGGGCATAAGCATTGAGGATGCATCTTCCCTGTTATCTTAATGAAATTATTTCCTTTATCCCTGGTAACACTTTTTGCTCTGAAATCTACTTTTTGTGATATTAACATAATCACTTCTGCTTTATGTTGATTAGTTTTAGAATAGTATATATTTTTACTTCTTTTACTTCTAACCTATTGATGCACTTATGTCTAAAATGTCTTTCTTATAAGCAACATACAGGGGGTGTTGCTTCTTAACCAATACTACAAATATTTAGACTATTTTCTGTGGCTATTGATATGGTTGTTATAAATCTATCAATGTAATAATTGTTTTCTGTTTATTATATCTATTATTTGGTCCCTTTTTCCCAGCTTTTATCCCTTTTTTATTATTTTTATGATTTCATTTTATCTCTTTCATTGTCTTATTAGCTATAACTTTAAAAAAATTGAGTGTTTGCCTCATAATTCGTCTTAATTCTAATACACTCTATCTTTAAGTTCCCATATAGAATAAGAAGCTCATAACAGTAAATTTCCATTTCTCCCCTTCTGGACTTTGTGCTACTGCTGCCATACATTTCATTTGATTTATACAATATTGTTTTATTTTGGCTTTAAATAGTCAATTATCTTTTAATGAGATTTAAAATAAAAAATAATGCATATTATACTTAGCTACATAGCATTTCTGGTGCTCTTCATTCCTTTGTGCAAACCTAGATTTTATATTTACAGCCATTGTATGTTTCAACATTTTAAATAACTTCTAAAGTTTGTTTTAGATCATTTTTATATCTTGCCTGTCTTGACTTTACACTTTCAATCTTTCCTCTACATTCTTGATATATAGAATATAGTTATAATAACTAATTCCAACATCTCTGTTATCAACTAGTGTCAGTTTCTATTGATTAATATTTCTTTTATTACAGGTCATATTTTCCAACTTTTTGAATGCCCATAATTTTTCACTGTTTGCCAGGTGCAATTTTTCTTGTTGATTCCTGCATATTTTTGAATTTCTATAAATATTATTGAGCTTTATTCTGTGATGCAGATAACTTACATGGAGCCAGTTTTATATTTTCTGGGATTTCTGTTAAGCTATTCATTAGACATTTAATTTGAGCAGCAATTACTCTATGATTAAGTTTGCTCTGGCAACTACTGATATTTCTACCATCTCTACCTTTTGCCCTTTCCAGAAGGTCATATAGTAAGAACCATATAGTACATAGTCTTTTCAGATTGGCTTCTTTCACTTAGTAATATGCATGTAAGTTTCCTCTATTTCTTCTCATGGCTTGATAGCTCATTTTTTCAGTGTTAAATAATGTTTCACTGTCTGAATGTACTGCAGTTTATTTATCCATTCATTTACTGAAGATATCTTGATTATTTGCACATTTGGGAATTATGAATAAAACTAAAGGGCTGGCCAAGATGGCCCACTAGAAACAGCTAGTGTGTGGCACTCTCACAGAGAGAAATAGAAGGGGCAAGTAAATATAGTAAATTCATCCAGGTACATGAACTGGGGTTCATCAAGAAAACTACTCAACCCACAGAGAATGGAGAAAAGCAAGGCAGGATGACTGCTCACCTGGGAGTGACATAGAGCCAGGGGAGCCTACCCTGCCTCTCCTGCCCTTATGAAGGAAGTAGTGACTAAGTGATTGACCAACACTGGAGTCCCACTCTTCTCCCATGAATCTTAGCAACACTTGAATCAGGAGATCCTCTTGTAAACCCCTTCCACCAGGGCCTTCAGTTTGACATACGGAACTATGTGAATTCTCAGCAGAGCAGCTGCTCAGGCAGACACAGAGCCCCAAGAGCTTTAGATACCTAGGCTTCCCAGCAAAAGCATCTGTAACCCCAGCAAAGCCAGAGGTTAGATAGACCTCCATATGTACACCAAGGAAAGGGACTGAATCCAGGGAGTTGAGCAGCAATGGTCTGTAGGCTCCATTTCCATGGTGTCTTACAGGATGAGACCCACTGGCTTGGAAATCCAGCCAACTATGCATAGCAGCATTATACCTACCTTAGATGGAGCCCCCAGAGGATCTTTGGTATTTTGCAACCTTAGTCATTGTTGCCTTCAGGCTCTGGGGAGTCTGAGGAGACTAGGGACTGGAGTGGTCTCCTGGCGGACTGCAGGTGCTGTCAAAAGAGGCAGCCAAACTGCTTTTTCACACGGGGCCAAGATACCATTTCTCTTCACTGGGCAAAATCTCCTGACCTAATTCTGCAAACACCTCCACCAGTGTTTTCCAGCTTGCAGCAGTTCCAAATCTTCCTGGGACAGAACTCCCAAAGGGAGGAACAGGTGGTCACCATCTTTGCTGTTTTTCGTCCCTAGCCATTGTTTCCTTTGGAGTGTCTGGGGCAATTGAGGCTGGAGCAGACCCCCAAAACAGCACAGCTACTCTATGAAAAAGCAGCCAGATTGCTTTTGCACACAGATCCCTGATCACATTTCTCCACACTGAGCAGGACCTCCCAACAAGAGTCCCCAGCCACCTCTAGGAGTATGTTTGGGCCAGCAACAAGTCCATATCTCCCCAGGACAAAGCTTCTAGGAGAAGCAGGCTGGCATCTTTGCCGTTTCACAGCCTTCACTGTTGATACCTTCAGGTACTAGAAAATCCGAGGTGACTAGGGATTGAAGTGAACCCCAGCATACTGCAACAGCCCTGTGAAAAAGTGGCCAGACTGTTACATGGGTTCCCGATCCCATATCTCCTCGCTGGGTGAGTCCTCACAGCCTGAGTCTTCAGCAACTCCCCACTGGAACTATTGAGCCAGTAGCAGCTCTGCAATTCCCTGGGACACAGCTCCCATTGTGAGGAGCAGGTTGCCATCTTTGCTGTCTTGCAGCCTTGCTCTTGCTGTCTCCAGGCTCAGGAAAGTCTGTGGGAATGAGGGACTGGTCCAGACCCATGCTATAGAGCGCTCGCCTCATGGAAAAGTGTTCAGACTATTCCTTATGCAGATCTCAGTCTCACTTCTCACTGGGAAGGTCCTCTTGACATGGGACTTCAGCAAACCAACCTGCCCCCACCCGACCTGAAGACCATTGAGATTCAGAACATAAAAGCTCAATCAAAGGAAACTAAGAATCACAATAAAGTGATACAGGAACTGATAGATGAAATAGCCAGTATGAAAAAAAAAAAACCTGACATACATGATGAAGCTGAAAAACACTACAAAAATTTCACAAGGCAATAATAAGTATTAACAGCAAAACAGACCAAGCTGAGGAAAGAATCTTAGACCTTAAAGACTGGCTGTCTGAAATAAGACAGGAAGACAAAAATTTAAAAAAAGAAAAGAACAGTGAAAAGGAATGAACATAAACTCTGAAAAATATCAGATTGTGCAAAGAGGTCAAACCTATGAATCACTGGCATCCCTGAAGGGATGGGAAGGAAGCAAATAACTTGGAAAACATATTTCAAGATATCAACCATGAGAATGTCTCCAAACTCTCTAGAACGGCCAACAGTCAAATTCAGAAAATATAGGGGACCACTGCAAGATTCTATACAAAAAGATCATTAGCAAGACACATAATCAAGTTTCCAAGGTCAACATGAAAGGAAGGATATTAAAGGCAGTTAGAGAGAAAGGCCAAGTCACCTATAAAGGGAACACCATCAGACTAACAGTAGACCTCTCAGCAGAAACCCTACAAGCCAGAAGAGATGGGGCCTATATTGAACATTCTTAAAGAAAAAATCTTCAACCAAAAATTATATATCCCAGCAAACTAAGCTTTCTCAGCAAAAGAGAAATAAGATCTTTCTCAGCAAATGCTGAGAGAGTTCATTACCACCAGATGTGCCTTACAAAAGATCTTGAAAGGAGCACCAAATATGGAAAGGAAAGACAAGTACCATTAATACAAAAAAAAAAAAAACACTCAAGTACACAGATCAGTAACACTATAAAGCAACCACACAAACAAGCCTATATCATAAACAGCTAATAACCCAATTACAGAATCAAATCCACACGTATCAATACTAACCTTGAATGTAAACAGGGTAAATGCCCCATTAAAATGGCACAGAGTGGCAAGCAACATAAAGACTCAAGACCCATTGATATGCTATCTTGAAGAGACCCATCTCACAGGCAATGACATCCAGAGGCTCAAAATAAAGGGGTAGATGAAAACCTACCAAGCAAATTAAAAACAGAAAAAAGCAGGAGTTGCAATCCTAATTTCAGACACACAGACTTTAAACCAGCAAACATCAAAAAAGGCAAAGAAGAGCATTTGTAAAGAATTAGATTCAAGAAGAAGATTCAACTGTTCCAAGTATATATGCACCCAACACTGGAGAACCCATAATCATAAAGCAAGTTCTCAGAGACCTTCAAAGAGACATAGATTCTCACAAAGTAATAGTGGGAAACTTCAGCATTTCACTGACAGTATGAGATAGATCATTGAGGCAGAAAATTAACAAAGATATTCAGGACTTAAACTCACATTGGAACAAATGAATTTAATAGACCTGTACACAACTTTCCACCCCAAAACAACAGAATATGCATTCTTCTTGTCACTACATGACACATATTCTAAAATCAGCCACACAATCAGTTATAAAACAATCCTTAGCAAATGCAAAAGAACCAACATCAATCAAACAGACTATTGGATAACAGTGCAATAAAATGGAAATCAAGACTAAAAAAAATTGCTTAAAACCATGCAATTACATGGAAATTAAATAACCTGCTCCTGAATAACTTTTGGGTAAATAATGAAATTAAGGAGGAAATCAAGAAATTCTTTGAAACTAATGAGAAAAAAGTTACAACATACTAGAATCTCTAGTACACAGATAATGCAGTGTTAAGAGAGAATTTTATAAAGTTAACAACCTAACACCACAACCAAATTAACTAGAGAAGCAAGAACAAACCAACCTCAAAGCTAGCAGAAAATAAGAAATAACAAAAATAAGAACTGAAAGGAAGGAAATCAAGACATGAAAAAACAACTCAAAAGATCAATGAATCCATGAGTTGGTTTTTTGAAAAAATAATAAGGTGAACAGGTCACTATCTAGACATATAAAGAAGAAAAGAGAGAAGATCCAAATAAACACAATCAGAAATAACAAAGGAGAAGTTACCACTGACCCCACAGAAATACAGACAACCATCAGATACTACAACAAATACCTCTATGCATACAAACTACAAAACTTAGGTGAAATGGATGAATTCATGGACACATACACCTTCCTAAGACTGAACCAGAAAAAAAAAATTCTGAACGACCAATAATGAGCTTCCAAGTTGAATTAGTAATAAATAACCTACCAACCAAAAAAGGCCTGGGACCAGATGGATTCACAGCTAAATTCTACCAGATGTACAAAGAAAACCTGGTACCATTCCCACTGAAACAATTCCAAAAAATTGAGGAGGAGGGTCACCTCCCCAACTCACTTACTCTATGAGGCCAGAATCATCTTGATATCAAAACCTGTCAGAGAAATAACAAAAATGAAAACTTCAGGTCGACATTTCTGATGAACATTGATGCAAAACTCCTCAACAAAATACTTGCAAACAAAATTGAGCAGCATATCAAAAAGCCAATCCACAACAATCAAGTAGGCTTTATCCCTGGAATGCAAGGTTGGTTCAACATATACACATATCAATAAATGTGATGCATCACATAAACACAACTAAAGATAAAAACCACACGATTATCTTAATAGCTGCAGAAAAGGCTTTTGATAAAATTCAATACCCCCTTATGTTAAAAAGTCTCAATAAACTAGGTACTAAAGGAACATAAATCAAAAGAATAAGAGCCATCTATGAAAAATCCAAAGCCAATATCATACTTAATGGGCAAAAGCTGGAAGAATTCCCATTGAAAACTAGCACAAGACACATGCTCTCCCTCACCACCCTTAGTAAACATTCTATTGAAAGTCCTGGCCAGAGCAATCAGGCAAGGAAAATAAATTAACACCATTCAAATAGGAAGTCAAACTATCCACGTTTGAAGAGGACATAATTCTATATCTAGAAATCCCATAGTCTTGATCCAAAAGCTCCTTCAGCTGATAAACAACTTCAGCAAAGTCTCAGGACACGAACTCAATGAACAAAAATTACTAGCATTTCTATACACCAACAAGAGACAAGCCAAAAGCCAAATCAGGAATGCAATCCCATTCACAATTGCCACAAAAAGAGTAAAGTACCTAGAAATATAGCTAACCAGGGAGGTGAAAGATCTCTGCAGTGAGAATTACAAAACACTGCTCAAAGAAATCAGAGATAACACAAATGGAAAAACTTTCCATACTAATGGATAGAAAGAATCAATATTATCTAAATAGCCCTGCTGCTCAAAGCAATTTATAGATTCAACACTATTTTTATCAAACTACCAATGAGATTCTTCACAGAACTAGAAAAAAGCTATTTTAGAATTCATATGGAATCAAAAAAGAGCCCAAATAGCCAAGGCAACCTAAGGAAAAAGAACAAAGCTGGAGGCATCATGCAACCCAACTTCATACTATGTTTATGGCTACAGTAACCAAAACATGATACTGGACAAAAGCAGACACGTAGACCAAGTGAATAGAATAGAGAGCCCAGAAATAAGACCACACACCTACCACCAACTGATCTTCAACAAAGTTGACAAAAACAAGCAATGGGGAAAGGACTCCCTATTCAATAAATGGTGCTGGGTTAACTGCCTAGCTATATGCAGAAGATTGATACTGGACCCCTTCCTTACACAATACACAAAAATCAACTCAAGATTAATTAAAGACTAATATAAAACCCCAAATTTTAAAAATCCTGAAGACAACCTAGGCAAGACCATTCTGGACATAGGAACTGGCAAAGATTTCATAACAAAGATGCCAAAAGTGATTGCAACCAAAGCCAAAATTGACAAATGACATCTACTTAAACTTAAGAGTTTATTTACAGCAAAAGAAACTATCAATGGAGTGAACACAAAACCTAGAGAATGGGAGGAAATTTTTGGAAACTATTAAACTGACAAAGAGGTCTAATATCCAGCATCTATAAGGAATTTAAACAAATTAACAAGCAAAAATCAAACAACCCCATTAAAAAGTGGGTAAAGTACATGAACACTTTTCAAAAGAAGATATACATGTGGCCAAAAAGCATATTTTTAAAAAGCTTAGTATCACTGATCTTTAGCTAAATGCAAATCACAACCACATTGAGATACCATCTTACCCCAGACAGAATGGGTATTAATACAAAGTAAAAAAATAACACATGTTGGCAAGGTTGTGGAGATAAGAGAATGCCTATACACTGTTGGTTGGAGTATAAATTAGTTTAACCATTTTGGAAAGCAGTGTAACAATTCCTCAAATATCTAAAAACAGAACTGCAATTTGTCCCTGCAATCCTATTACTGGGTATATACCCAAAGGAATATAAATTGTTCTAACATTAAGACACATGCATGCATATATTTATTGCAACACTGTTTACAATAGCAAAGATATGGAATCAACCTAAATGCCCATCAATGGTAGATTGGATAAAGAAAATGTGGTATATATATAACATGGTTACTATGCAACATTAAAAATGAATGATATCAAGTCTTTTGCAGCAATGTGGATGGAGCTGGAGGCCATCATCCTTAGTATCATAACACAGGAACAGAAAACCAAATACTGCATGTTTTCACTCATAAGTGGAAACTAAATGATGAGAACACGTGGATACTTAGAGGAGAACAAAGGACCCTGGGTACTGCTTGAGACTGCAGTGAGGGAATGAGGATCACAAAAAGTAACTATTGTATACTAGGTTTAGACCTGGGTGATGATGAAGTAATGTGTGCAACAAACCCTCATGACATGAGTTTACCTATGTAACACACTGGCACATGTACACCTGAGCATAAAATAAAAGTTTTTTAAAACCTGCTATTAACATCCTTGTGCAGGTTTTTGTGTGGACATTAAGTTTTCAGTTCTTTTGGATAAATTACAGGTACCATGATTGCTGGATCATATGGTAAGAGTGTATTCAGTTTTGTAAGAAACTGCCAAAATATCTTCCAAAATGGTTGTACCATTTTGCCATATGCCAACAATAAACAAAAGTTTCTGTTACTCCACATTCTCACTAACATTTGGCAGTGTCAATGTTTTAGATTTTTGTCATTTTGGTAGATGTGTAATGTAAATTGAAGCAAAAGTATTGCAGTTTTTGCCATTACTTTCACACCAACCTGATAGTATCTCATTTTGTCTTAGTTTGCAATTGCATAATGACATAAAGTGCTGAACATTTGCTCATATGCTTACTTGACATCTACATATCCTCTTTAGTGAAGAAGTAATTATGGTTGGTGCAAATGTAATTGCATTTTCTGCATTGTTGATATTTGCCGTTCGATATTGGAACACATTCTTAAATAAATGTGGTTATGTTACACATCATTTTTATGCACATTTCTTGCTTTTTTTGCTAATGACTTATTACTTGCTGTTTATATTATATTTATTTTAGACTACTGAAATGATGTTAGACAAAAAGCAAATTTGAGCGATTTTCTTATTTGACTTCAACATGGGTCGTAATGCAGCAGAGACAACTACCAGTGTCAACAGTGCATTGGCCCAGGAACTGCTAGTGAACGTACAGAGAAGTTGTGGTTCAAGAAGTTTTGCAAAGGGGACGAGAGCCTTGAAGCTGAGGAGTGTAGTGGCCAGCCATCAGAAATTGACAATGACCAGTTGAGAGCAATCACCAAAGCTGATCCTCTTACAACGAAATGAGAAGTTGCTGAAGAACTCAAAGTCAACCAGTCTATGGTCATTTGGCATTTAAAGCAAATTGGAAAGGTGAAAGAGCTCAATAAGTTGGTGCTTCATGAGCTGAGTGATAATTTAAAAAAAAAAAATCATCGTTTTGAAGTGCCATCTTCTCTTAGTCTACACAACAATGGGATTTTGACCTGCGATGAAAAATGGATTTTACACAACAACCAGCAATGACCAGTTCAGTTGTTGGACCGAGAAGAAGCTCCAAAGCACTTCCCAAAGCCAAACTTGCACCAAAAAAGATTATAGACACTGTCTGGTGGTCTGCTGCGGGTCTGATCCACTACAGGTTTTGGAATCCCAGCGAAACCACTGTGTCTGAGAAGTATGCTCAGCAAATCGATGAGATGCACCAAAAACTGCAATGCATGCAGCTGGCATTGGTCAACAGAAAGAGCCCAATGCTTCTGCACAATTATGCCCAACCTGCATGTCACACAACCAATGTTTCAAAAGTTGAACAAATTGGGCTATTAAGTTTTGCCTCATCCATCATATTCACTTGACCTCTTGCCAACCAACTACCACTTCTTCAAGCATCATGACAACTTTTTGCAGGGAAAAAACTTCCAAAGCCAGTAGGATGCAGAAAATATTTTTTGAGAATTCGCTGAATCCTGAAGCACAGATTTTTATGCTGCAGGGATAAACAAACATTTTTCATTGGCAAAAATGTGTTGATTGTACTGGTTCCTATTTTGATTAATAAAGATATGTTTGAGCCTAGTTATAATAATTTAAAATTCAAGGTCCAAACTACAATTTTTGCACCATCCTAATATCTATTCAGGTCCTTTGCCCATATATATATATATATGTATGTGTATGTATATATATACACATATATATGTACAGTCTGGGAAAACATATTTGCAAAAAATCATATATATACGTATATATATGTATATGCACATATTCTTATATAATCATATTATATATACATATATTTATATATATGTATTATATATGTATATATATAATATGATTTTTTGCAAATATGTTTTTCCAGTCCGTAGCTTGTTTTTTTCATTCTTTTGACAGTGTCTTCACAGAGGAAAACTTTTGAATTTTGATGAATCCCAGCCTGTCAATTCTTTCTTTCATAGCTCATGCTATTTATTTATTTGTTTGTTTGTTTGATTTTTGTGAAGAGTGTATGGTCCCTGTTTAGATTCAGTTGTTTTGCATGTGGATATCTTGTTGTTCAGGTACCATTTGTTGAAAAAAAAAAAACTACCTTTACTCCACTGTATTATTTTTGCTCCTTTGTCAAAATTGGTTGACTACTGTTACATGGCTCTATTTCAGGGCTTTCCTTTCTGTTCTATTGGTCTATTTGTCAGTTTATTTTATCAATAGAACACTGCCTTGATTACTGTAGCTTTATAGTAAATCTTGAAATCTCATAGTGTCAGTCTGACTTTGCTTTTCTCATTCAACACTAAGTTGGCTATTCTGGGTCTTTCGCCTATCCATATAAAGTTTAGAATCAGTTTGTTTGCATCCACAAAATAACTTGCTGAGACTTTGATTGGGATTGCACTGGATCTCTTAATTAAGCTTTGAAGAACAAACACTGTCTATAATATTAAGTCATTCTATCCATAAATATGGAATATCTTTCTATTTATTGAGTTCTTTAATCTCATTTATCAGAGTTTTCATGTTTTTCTTATATATATTTTTGATATATTTCATTAGGTTTATATCTAAGAATTTCATTTTTGTGCACAATATAAATAGTATTTTGTTGTTCATTTCAAATTCCACTTCTTTACTATAGGTATATAGGAAAGCAATTTGACTAGTGTGTTAACCTTCTGTTCTGCAACTTTCTTCCAATTCTATTATTAGTTATGAGGTTTTTTTAAAATTCTCTACATAGACAATTATGTCATCTGTTAACAAAGTTTGATTTCTTCCTTCTCAATCTGAATAAATTTATTTCTTTTTCTTATCTTATATCATTAGCTAGGATTTCCAGTATGATGTTGAGAAGTAATGATGAGAGGCAAAATCCTTGCCTTATTCCTGATCTTAGTGGCAAAACTTCCAGTTTCTCACCCTTAAGTTTAATGTTAGCAATGAGTTTTTTTCTGTGGATGTTATGTTATTAAGTTGAAGAAGTTCTCTATTCCTACTTTTACTGAGCGTTTTTAATCCTGAATCAGTGTTGGATTTTGTCACATGCCCTCTTGCATCTGTTAATGTGATCATGTAAGTTTTCTTCTTCAGCTTGTTGATATCATACATTATATTAATGTGTTTTCTAATGAGACCAACCCTGCACATAAAATCCAGTTGGTCTTAGGGTATACATTTTTAATACATTGTTGCTAACATTACATTGAACATTTTTGTGTCATGTTCATGAGAGGTATTGGTCTGTGGTAGTTTTATTTTTCTTGTAATATTTTTGTCTGGTTTGGTGTTACAATAATCCTGGCTTTGAAGAATGAGTTAAGAAGTATTCCCTCTGCATCCATGTTCTGAAAGAGATTATAAAGTCTTGATGTAAATTCCCCCTTAAACGATTTGCTAGAATTCAAAATAAAAATACATCTAATCAAAATTTGAGCCCATCTGGGCCTGGTAGTTTTAGGTTTGGAAGGTTATTAATTATTGATTATTTAATAGATACAGGCCTATTTACATAGTCTATTTCTTCTTGTGTGAGTTTTGGCAGATTTTGTCTTAAGGAATTGGTCCATTTCATCCAGGTTATCAACTTTGTAGGGATCAAGTCGTTCATAGTATTCTTTTATTATCCTTTTGATAGCCATAAAATTTGTACTGATATCCTCTCTTTAATCTCTGATTTTAGTGATTTGTGTTCTCTTTTTTTCCTAATTAGCCTGGCTAGAGGCTAATTTCTTTCGCCTTATTATTTCTTTTCTTCTACTTCCTGTGTATTTAATTTTCTCCTCTCTTTTTAGTTTCTTAAGGTGGAAGTTTAGATGATTAATTTTAGATCTTTCTTCTTTTCTATATAGGCATTCAATGTTATAAATTTCCAAGCACTCATTTCCTTGCGTTCCACAAATTTTGAGAAGTTGTATTTTCATTTTTATTTAGTTCAATGTATATGTAAATTACTACTAAGATTTCTTCTTTGATCCATGTGTTATCTGGAAGTGTGTTGTTTAGTCTCCCATTATTTGGAGATTTCCAGCTATCTTTTTGTTAGTGATTTGTAGCTTAATTCTATTGTCTCAGAGCAGACATTGTATAATTTCCAGTTTTTAAAACTTAACGTATGTTTTATGGCCCTGAATGGCATCTATCTTGGTGAATGCTCCCTATGAGCTTGAGTAGAGTGTGTATTCAGCTGTCCTTAAATGAAGTACTCTGTAAATGTCAATTTATCCAGTTGTTGAGTTCAACTATGTCCTTAACTGATTCTTTGCTGGCTAGATTTGTTCGTTGCTGATAGAGGAGTGTTAAAAGTCTCCAATTATGACAGTGGAGTCATCTATTCCTATTTGCAGTTAATCAGTTTTGCTTCAGGTATTTTGACTCTCTGGTGTGAGGCACATAGATATTAAGGATTACCATATTTCATTAAAGTATTGACCCATTTATCATTATGTAGTCCCCCTCTTTATGCTGAGTAACTTTCTTTGCTCTGGAGTCTGCTCTTTCTGAAATTAACATAGCTACTCCAACTTTCTTTTGACTTATGTTTATGCATTATATTATTCGCCATCCATTTACTTTTAATCTATATGTGTCTTTATACTTAAGATGAGTTTTTGATAGACAACATACAGTTGGGTCTTGTTTCTTGTTCCACTCCCACATTTTTTTGGGGGTCTTTTAATTGATAAGTTTAGACCATTGACATTTAAGATGATTTTTGATATATTTTAATTAATATCTACCATATTTGTTAGTGTTTTATTTATTGCCACTGTTCTTTTTTCTTATATTTATCTGTCTGCTTTATACATATATATATATTTTTTTTCTTTGAGACGGAGTCTTGCTCTGTTGCCCAGGCTGGAGTGCAGTGGCGCCATCTCGGCTCACTGCAAGCTCCGCCTCCGGGGTTCACGCCATTCTCCTGCCTCAGCCTCCCCAGTAGCTGGGAGTACAAGCGCCCGCCACCATGCCTGGCTAATTTTTTTGTATTTTTAATTGAGTGTTTTATATTATTCTATTTTGTCTCCTTTATTAGCTTGTCAGTTATACTTCCTTCTGTTTTTACTTTTCTTAGTGGTTGCTCTGAGCTTGCAATACACATTTACAGCTACTCCAAGATCATTTTCAAATAACACTAAACTGCTTTGTGGGTAGTGGAACTACCGTTAATAACAAAATAATACTAATTTCCACCTCCCATTTTATGTATTATTGCTGCCCATTTCTCATAAGCACATATAAGCCTGTGTATGTGTGTGTATGTGTGTATATACACATAGTTGAATCCATTGTCACTACTATTTTGAATAAATTGTAACCTGTTAGATCAATTTAGAGTAATAGAATAAGTTTTTATTTTAACTTTATTTAATCATTCTCTGATGCTTCTCCCTTCTTTATTTAGATTTAAGTTTCTTCCTGTATTACTTTCCTTCTCTCTGGAAAACTTCTTTTAACATGTCTTGCAAGACAGGTCTACTGGCAATGAATACCCTCAATTTGTCTGAAAAAGTCTTTATTTTCCCTTCATTTATGAGGAATAATTGTACAGGGTACTAGGTTGATTTTTTTTCTCTCAACCCTGTAAATCTTCTCACTTCACTCTCTCTTTGCTTGCATGGTTTCTGGGGAGAAGTTTATTATCTTCGCCCTTCTACAGGTAAGGTGTTTTTCCCATCTGGCTTAAGTTGTTTTCTTTATATTTAATCTTCTGAAGTTTGAATATGATATGCTTTAGTTTTTTCTTGGCACTTTCATCCTTCTTGGTGTTCTTTGAGCTTCCTGTATCTGTAGTTTGATGTCTGACCTAAATTTGGAAAAATTGTCAGTCATTAATACTTCAAATATTACTTTTCTTTCTTTATTTCTTCCTTTTCCTTCTGGTATTCTATAATTAAAGCCCTTATATTCGCCCCACAGTAGTTGGATATTGTGTTCTGTTCTGTTTTCTTTTTAAATTTATTTCTCTTTGTTTTTTAGTTTTGAGAGTCTCTACAGATAGATCCTCAAGCTCAGAGATACTTTCTTGAGCCATGTTCAGTCTACATTACAGCCGATAAAAGGCATTCTTTTTCTGTTAGGGTTTTTCATCTCTAGCATTTCTTTTTTATTTGTTTTTAGAGATGTCATATATCTGTTTATATTATTCATATTTTCTTGTATGTTATCTACTTTTTCCATTGAACTCCTTAGCATACTAAGCATTGTTTTGTTTTGTTTTTTAACTCCTGGTCTGATCATTCTAAAACTCCTACTTTATCTGACTCTGGTTTTGATGCTAGTTCAGTCTCTTCAGACTGTTTTCCCTTTTAGTATTTCTGTAATTTTTCCTTGATAGCCAGATCTGATGTTCTAGGTAAAGGAACTGCTGTAAATAAGCCTTCAGGAATGTGGCGGTAAGGTGCATGTGGTTGCGGAAGTGTTCTGTAAGTCTATGAAGGTCTTAGTCTTTTGGTGAGCCTGAAGCCCTGGACTGTAAACTTCACCAGTGCTTCTTAGGTTTCCCTTTGTTTGTTTGTTTGTTCATTTTCTCTCTTTATGTGCAACAGGATGGCTGGAGGGAGCTGAAGTTGTGTATTTCTTTTTCCCCACTTGGAAGACTAGAGAGGGCTGAAGTTGAATACTTCCCTTTCCCCAGCTAGATTATGCTCTGGCAAAACCCCAGTAGCTTAGGCTCTGGTAAAATAGTTTCTCCTGATGGAAGAACTTGTTAAGGAGAACAGTATGCTCTGGCTTATTTCAAAATGGTTTCTTTTCTTCTTCTCTGCCAGAAAGAAGCCCAAGAGGACTTTTTTTCCGACATTCACTGTGAGGACCTGGTAGAGTCCCAGGTGATAAAACTCACAAGTGCTAGGGCTCACCGATGACTGAGTCTTCCTGTTGTTTTTAATGTCTCAGGCTTGTCCACACTGAACTTCTAGCAATATGTTGATTACCGCACTGGTTTTCCTATTCTGGCACTAACTCCCATGGAAGTTTCTGATTGTGGGTTTCTGCTGTGGTAAGTTGTGATACTCTGTATCCACCTGTGTCTCTCTAATTTGGGGTTAGTAGTATGCATTGTGACTTCACTTCCCTGAGGGATGTAAGAAGAGTGATTGAGTTTTCAGTTTGTTCAGATTTGTAGTCTTTATTGAGATGGAGTGAAGACTTCTAAGCTCTTTACTTGCTGGACTGAAAACCAGAAGTCCACAATAGTGTTTTTATTTTTATACTATAAAATTTTGAAAGCCATGTTGTTTTTGACAAAAGGGATTAAAAATTCACTTCAACAGCAATGTAGTGAAATGTTCTTTTCCACATATCTGCCAAAAATATTTTTGCTATTTTCATTTTTTCAGGTTTTTTTTGGTAGACACAGTAAACATTTTTATTGTAATTTGCATTCGGTGGCTACTTTTGAAATTTAGCAGCATATGATTTGGCGCCAATTAAATTTGGTCTTTGAATTGTCTCTTCAGCCTACTGCCATACTGCCCTGAACTCATGTGATTTCATCAGAATTGTCTATTCATATCCTTGTTCATTTTAGGTTAGTTTATTTTTATTTATTTCTTGGTTTCTAAGAACTCTCCTTTTCTCCTATTTGTCTTAGAAATGTTGTGTTTCAAATCTATATTTTGTCTATTGATTTCACTTGTGATAATTTTTGCCATTATATATATGCATATATATTAATATATATTATATACAGCATGTTTGAATGTATAAACATAATCAATACAGCTATGATTTTGTACAGTTACATATCTTCTGGGTTTTAAGTCTAGTTTAGAATAACTTCCTCATTGTTTAGGAACATTTAGGTTTTTTTCTCTGAATTAAACTACTAACTTAATTGTATATTAAATTTCAAATATGTTTGTATCTAATTCTTGATTCCATTCACTTAAGATATTTATTCAGTCTTACACAAGTACCATACTGACTTGATCATAACATCTTTTAGTATATTCTTATTCCAAGACACTCCTTGCTGTAATTTTTTATATGTTTCTTGGTTATCTTGGGCACTTACTCTTCTCTGTTAATTTTAATGGTTTTTAGTATTATTTTTAGTTGACATAATAATTTTACATATTCTGGGATTACATAGTGATATTTCAATACATATAATTTCAAACATGTATCATTTATATGTGTTGGGAATGTTCACTATTCTGCTTCCAGCTCTTTAAAAGTATATCATATACTTTTGTTAACCTGTATTAGTCCGTTTTCATGTTGCTGATAAAGACATACCTGAGACTGGGCAATTTATAAGAAAAAGAGGTTTAATGGACTTACAGTTCCATTTGGCTGGGGAGGCCTCACTATCATGGCAGAAGGCAAAGGGGACACATTACATGGCAGCAAACAAAAGAGAATGAAAGAGCCAGGCAAAAGGGGTTTCCCCTTATAAAACCATCAGATCTCATGAGACTTAATCATGACCACAAGAACAGTATGGGGGAAACTGCCCCCATAATTCAGTTATCTCCTGCTGGGTCCCTCCCACAATGTGAGGGAATTATGGGAGCTACAATTCAAGATGAGATTTCAGTGGGGACACAGACTAACCATATCATAACTATAGTCATACTTATGTGGTATGAAACAACAGAACTCATTCTACCTCTCTAGCTGTAGTTTTATATTCATTAACAAATCTTTCCTCACCCGTCTTTTTCCCTTACCCTTCCCAGCGTCTAGTATCCTCTGTTCTACTTTTTACTTATTTCTATGCGATCGACTTTTTTTGGCTTCCAAATATGAGTGAGAACATGTTGTGTTTATTCCCTTCCTGGCTTATTTCACTTAACATAATGTTCTCCAATTCCTTCCATATTGCTGTACATGACAGGATTTCATTATTTTTTATGGCTGAATAGAATTCCATCGTGTATATATGCCACATTTTCTTTATTCTTCTGTTGTTGGACACCTAGGTTGATTCTATATCTTGGCTATTGTGAATAGTACTGCAATAAACATGGGGGTGCAGATGTCTATTCGATATAATAATTTTCTTTTCTTTGGGTAAATTCCCAGTAGGGGGAATTGCTGGGTCACATAGCAGTTCTATTTGTAGTTTTTTGCGAAACCTTCATACTCTTCTCCATAGTGACAATACTAGTATACATTACCACCAACAGTGTATAAGAGTTCCCTTTTCTCCACATCCTTCCCACCATTTATTATTTTTGATAATAGCCAACCTAACTGGGGTGAAATGACACTTCATTGTGGTTTTTATTTTTATTTCTCTGATAATTAATGATGTTGAGCATTTTTCATATATTTCTTGGCCATTTGTATGTATTATTTTGTGAAATGTCTGTTCAGATCATTTCCTTATTTTTAAATTTGATTGTTTCAGGTTTTTTCGCTGTAGAGATGTTTGAGTCCTTGTATATTCTGAATATTAATCTCCTGTCAGATAAATAGTTTGAAAATATTATCTACCATTTTGTAGATTGTCTTTTCATACTGTTGATTGTTTCCTTTTCTGTATTGAAGTCTTTTAGTTGGATATAATCCCATTTATTTGTTTTTGCTTTTGTCGCCTGTCTTTTTAAGGTCTTACAAAAGTCATAAAATATTTTTGCTAACCAATATCCTGAGGCATTTTTCCTTTTTTCCTTCTAGATATGTTATAGTTTCAGATTTTACAATTAGATCTTTGACCCATTTTGAGTTGATTTTTTTATAGTGTGAGAACTAGAGGTCTAGTTTCATTCCTCTGTACATGGATATCCAGTTTTTCTAGTACAATTTATTGAAGTTACTTTCCTTTCCCCAGTGAGTGTTCTGGATACCTTTGTCAAAAATCACTTGGCTGTAGATATGTGATTTAATTTCTGAGCTCTCTATTCTCCATCATTAGTCTATGTGTGTGTTTTTATGACAGTACCATACTGTTTTGGTGGTAACAGTTTGTAGTATATTTTGAGGTCTGGTAGTCTGGATTTAAACTGCACTGCAGAACAAATGAACCTAATAGATATTTATAGAACATTCTACCCAATAACTTCAGAATATAAATTCTCCTCATAAGCACATGGAACATTCTCCAAGATAGACCATATAATGGGCTACAAAACAAGTCTCAATAAATTTTTTAAAATCAAAATTGTATCAAGTATTTTCTCAGACCACAATGTAATGAAACTAAAAAGCAACTCCAAAAGGAACCCTCAAAGCTATAGAAATATATGGAAATTAAATTATCTGCTCCTGAATGATTTTGTGGGTTAATAATGAAATCAGGATGGAAATTTTATAATTCTTCAAAATGATGAAAATAGTGACACAAGTTATCAAAACCACTGGCATATGGCAAAAGCAGTATTAAGAGGAAAGTTTATAGTGCTAAATGCCTGCATTAAAAAAGTCTCTTTCAGACTCTTTCAGATGAAAAATTGACAAACTAACATTATACCTCAGGGACTGAGGTATAATGATCAAATTCAACCTAAAACTAGCAAAAGAAAAGAAAAAACAAAGATCAGAGCACTACTTAATGAAATTAAAACAAAAATAATAAAATACAAAAGATCAATGAACCAAAAAGCTGGCTGTTTGAAAATATAAACAAAATTGATAGACCATTAGCTAGATTAACCAAAAAAAGAAGAAAGAAGATTCAAGTAAGTTAAATTAGAAATGAAAATGGAGACATTACAACTGACACTACAGAAATACAAAAGATTATTCAAAAGTCTACTAGAAACACTTCTATGCATATGTATTCCTGGAAAGATACAACTTCCTAGCTTAAATCAGGAAGAAATAGAAATCCTTAACAGATCAATAACAAGCAGTCAGATTGAATCAGTAACTTAAAAATTGCCAACAAGAAATTCCCAGGGCCAGATAGATTCACAGCTGAATTCTACTAGATATTCACAGAAGAGTTGGTACCAATCAACTAAAACTATTCCAAAAGATTGAAAAAGAAGGCATCCTCTCTAACTCATTCTATGAAGCCAGTATCACCTTTAATACCAAAGCCAGGAAAGGAGACAATGAAAGAAGGAAAGAAAGAAAGAAAGAAAGAAAGAAAGAAAGAAAGAAAGAAAGAAAGAAAGAAAGAAAGAAAGAAAGAAAGGAAGGAAGGAAGGAAGGAAGGAAGGAAGGAAGAAAGGAAGGAAGGAAAGAGAGAGAGAGAGAAAGAAAGAGAGAGAGAGAAAGGAAGGAAGGAGGGAAGGAAGGAAGGAAGGAAGGAAGGAAGGGAGGGAGGGAGGGAGGGAGGGAGGGAGGGAGGGAGGGAAAGAAAGAAAGAAAAGAAAGAAAAGAAAGGAAGGAAGGAAGGAAATTGCAGACCAATACCCCTGATGAACATAGACACCAAAATCTTGAATTAAATACTAGCAAACTGAATCCAACAGCACATCAAAAAGATAATTCAGCATAATCAGGTGGGTTTCATCCCAGGGATGCAGGGATGGTTGAACATATTCAAGTCAATAAATGTGATTCACCACATAAACAGAATTAAAACAAAAACAATACAATAATCACAATAAATGCAAAAAAGTAGTCAATAATGTCCAGTATCCTTTATGATAAAAACCCTCAACAAACTAGTAACAGAAGTAATATACTTCAAAATAGCAAAAGCCATATATGACAAACCCACAGCCAACAACATACTAAATGGGAAAAAGTTGAAAGCATTCCCCCTAAAAACCGGTAGAAGACAAGGATGCTCATTTTCACCACTTCTATTCAACATAGTAACGGACATTCAAGCCAGAGCAATCAGAAAAGAGAAAGAAATAAAGGGCATCCAAATTGGAAAAGAGGAGGTCAAACTATCTCTCTTCACTAGTGGCATTATCATATACAGAGGAAATCCTAAAAACCCTTCCAAAAACTCCTAGTTTTGATAAATAAATTCAGTAAAGTCTCACTTTAGAAAATCAATGTACACAAATCAGTAGCACTGCTTTACACCACCAACAACCAAGCTGAGAATCAAATTAACCACTCAATCTCTGTTGTAATAGCTGCACAAAATAAAATACCTAAGACTATACTTAACAAAAGAGGTGAAAGATCTCTACAAGGAGAACTACAAAACGCTGCTGAAAGGAATCGTAGATGACACAAACAAATGAAAATACATTTTATGCTCATGGATTGGAAGAATCAATATTATGAAAATGACCATACTGCCCAAAGCAATCTACAGATTCAATCCAATTTCTATCACAATACCAACATTATTTAATATGGAATTAGAGAAAATAACCTTAAAATTCATATGGAACCATAAAGAGAACCCATGTAGGCAAAGCGATCCTAAGCAAGAACAAATCTGGAGGCATCACATTACCTGACTTCAAATTATACTACAAAGCTATAGTAAGCAAAACAGCATGATACTAGTATAAAAGTAACTGCATAGACAATGGAACAGAATGAAGAACCCAGAAACTAAGCCAAATAGTTACCACCAACTGATCTTTGACCTGCAGTCCAGGGAGGGTGGAACCCCAAAACCGCTGGACTGGTTCTGCAACCCGTCAGAGATGTGGGTGCCTGTTTGAGCAATGGGACACCTGCTGGGCAGGTTTGGACCATCCATCCCTGCCTGTTAGCTTCTGTTTTCACGCATTTGAGGTGTGCCATTTTCTGTTGAATTTAACAGCATACTAGAGGCTATACCTGCTAGTATTTCCCAGTTGTGTATTTTGTGGCAGGGGGAGTGTCCTGCATGCCTCCTACTTCTGAAAGACAAAGGTCACTGCCAGGAAGCCCAACAGTGATGTGTTTTCCCCTCCAGCCTCCAGTGGGGTGTGTGGGGTGACAGTGTGAGCAGCCCTTGGATGTCTGGCTGCTAGGGAGGCAAAGAACAGAGAGATCTAAAGTCTGGGCCAGCTTTCTCTGTGAAAGGGCTTTCCTTGACTCTTCTCCTCTCTGGGATTCTTAAGATTCCTTCTCTAATCCCAAAATGGGCAAGCCTATATATAAGCCTTGTTTCTAGAATGGACAAAGCTGGATTTAAAACCCATCTAGCCATTTAACAGTTATGACCTTGTGTAAGTGGCACAGTCTCTGAACCCGTTTCTCCACCTACAAAAACAGGGCTAGGTCAGTGATTCTTATTCTGGAGCCAGCATCAGAATCACACAGGAGGGGGATTCTTTAAAACTGACTATTGGGCCTGGTCCCAGAGTGTCTGATTCAGTGGTTGGAGCCTTACAACTTGGATTTCCAACAAGTTCCCAGGTGATGCTGATGCAGTGGTCGGGGAACAGATTCTGAGGCTCTCCCCCACCCCCAAAACACACACACACAAACCCCTGCAAGGCTTGGTAACACTTGGGGTTTTGAGGCAGAGGCGCCACACTCAGGGCTTGGCACATAGTAATTGATTTTATTTTAATGCTAGCTGACCTCACATAGATTTCTATATTGGTGTCTCAGAAGCTCTGCAGCTGAAGACGATGTGGCCCTTGGTCTCTGACTGCCTCCCTGCCATGTGATCCCTGGTTTGTTATTGCTTTGATGAACCATTTGGGTCCAGGTACTATTGATCATGCTACCTCCCCTATTTGGGAGTTGTGCCCCACCCTCAGTGAGGGATACACTGAGCTTTGGGGGCCTGTGGGGCTTAACAAGGAGATTTTGACCTTTATATCTTTCTCTTGTCTGATTGCTCTACCTAGGTCTTCCAGTACTATGCTGAACAACAGTGGTGACAGTGGGCATCCTTGTTCATTCCAGATCTTAGAGGAAAGTCTTTCAGTTTTTTTTCCATTCAGTATGATAATAACTGTATATCTGTCTTATACACCTTTTATTATGTCAAAGTACGTTCCTGCTATATCTTTTTTTTTTTTTTAGAATTTTTAGCGTGAAGGACTGTTAAATTCTACCAAATGGCTTTTCAGCATCAATTGAAATGAATGGCTGGTTTTTGTCCTCCATTGTGTTCATATTATGTATCACATTGGCTAATCTACATATGTTGGACCATCCTTGCATCCCTGAGATAAATTCTATTTGTTCACAATGAATGATCTTTTTAATGTATTATTGAATTTGGTTTGCTATTATTTGTTGAGGAGTTTTGCATCAATATTCATCATGGATAATGGCCTGTAGCTTCCTTTTTTTAATGTGTCTTTGGTTTTGGTATCAGGGTAATTCTGAGCTCATAGAATGAATTTGGAAATATTCTCTCCTGTATTTTTCAGAATAGTTTGAGTAGGATTCGTATTAGTTATTCCTTAAATGTGTAGTGGAATTCAGCAGTAAAGCTATTAGGTCTGAGTTTTTTTTGCTGGGAGAATTTTTTATTATGGCTTCAACCTCATTACTTGTTATTGGTCTGTTCAGGTTTTGGATTTCTTCATGGTTCAATCTTGGTGATTGTAAGTGTCTAAGAAATTATCTATTTATTTTAGATTTTCTAATTTATTTGCATATAGTTGCTCATAATAACTGCTAATGAAATTTTGAATTTCTGCAGTATCAGTTGTAATGTCTCGTTTCATCTCTGATTTTGTTTATTGGAGTCATCTCTCTTTTATTCTTACTCTAGTTAAGGTTTGTCAATTTTGTTTATCTTTCTTAAAAAAACACAATTTTTGTTTCATTGATCTTTTGTATAATTTTCTTCATTTCAAACTTGGTTTGAAATCTGTTTCTTCTCTGATCTTATTTATTTTCTTCTACTAATTTTGGATTTGGTTTGCTCTTGCTTTCCCAGTTCTTTAGGAGGCATTTTTAGGTTATCTATTTGTAGTTTTTCTTTTTTATTGTTTTGATGTAGGCAATTACAGGTATAAATTTCCCTCTTAGTTCTAAATTTCCCTCTTAGTTCTGCTTTCACTGTATTCCATAGGTTTTGGTATGTTTTGTTCCCATTATCATTTGTTTTAAGAAAATTTTAAATTTTCTTCTTAATTTCTTCATTGACCCACTGGTTGTTCAGGAGTATACACTTTAATTTTCATATTTTTGTGTAGATTCCAAAATTCCTCTTGTTATTAATTTCTAGTTTTATTCCATTGTGGTCAGAGAAGATGCTTGATATTATTTCAAATTTTTTGAATGTTTTAAGATTTGTCATATGAGCTAATATATGCTCTATCCTTGAGAATAATCCATTTTCTGGGGAGAAAAATATGCATTTTCCAGCCACTGGATGATGTATTCTGTAAATATTAATTATGTCCGTTTGGTCTATACTGCAGATTAAGTCCAATGTTTCTTCGTTTATTTTCTGTCTGGGAGATTGTCCAGTGCTGAGAGTGGGGCATTGAAGTCTCCAACTATTATTGTATTGGAGTGTATCTCTCTTTAGCTCTAATAATATTTGCTTTTTATATTTGGGTGCTCCTGTATTGGGTGTATATATATTCACAATTGCTGAATTGACCCCTTTATCATTATATAATGGCCATTTTTGTTTCTTCTTAAGGTTTTTGTCTTGAAATCTATTTTGTCTGATGTAAATATAGATACCTTGGCTCTATTTTTTCTTTCCATTGACATGGAATATCTTTTTCCATCCCTTTATTTTCAGTTTATGTATGCTTTATGGATTAAGTGTTTTTCTTGTAGGTAATAGATCCTTGGGTCTTGTTTTCTCATTTATTTAGCCACTCTATGCTCTTTTATTAGAGAGTTTAGTCCATTTCCATTCAATGTTATTGTTGATAAGTATGGGCTTATTCCTGCCATTTTGTTATTTGATTTCTGGTTGTTTTGTGGCCTTTTCTTCCTTCTTTTCTTTTCTCCTGTCTTCCTTTTAGTGAAAGTGATTTTCTCTGGTGTTATAATATAACTTCTTGCTTTTTATTTTTTATTTATCCATTGTATGTTTTTTGACTTGTGGTTACTGTGAGGCTTGCAAATACTATCTTATAACTCATTTTTTTAAACTGATGGTAAATTAACTCTGATTGAAGAAACAAACAAAAATAACTAATGAACACTCTATACAAACTTAGCCAACTTTGAAAATGATGTTTTGAAGCTCCTCAATACTGTTATATTAATCAGATTATCTTTATATTGCTTGTTGTTGTTCTTCATGTAACTGATATGTTTTTGTGGCATACTAGCTTGTGATTTCGTGTCTTTTTTTTTTTTCTCTCAAACATAAGGTCCAGGTGAAAAGGACTTTTTATCTATTTTAATTCCAGAATCTGTTTTTAGCACACATAAATGTTTCATAAATATTTCTTGAATGGAAGTTGATAGGATGAATAAATGAGTTTTCAAGATAAATTTCCCCATGTTAGACTTGCTGTATATGAATAGCATTGCACAATATTGGGGTCATAAGAAACAGCTGGTATGATTTATCTTTTTAATGTTTTAGATTATTTAACTTTATTTTTTTATTTTATTATTATTATACTTTAAGTTTTAGGGTACATGTGGAAAATGTGCAGGTTTGTTACATATGTATACATGTGCCATGCTGGTGTGCTGCACCCATTAACTCCTCATTTAGCATTAGGTATATCTCCTAAAGCTATCCCTCCCCTCTCCTCCCACCCCACAACAGTCCCCAGAGTGTGATGTTCCCCTTCCTGTGTCCATGTGTTCGCATTGATCAATTCCCACCTATGAGTGAGAATATGCGGTGTTTGGTTTTTTGTTCTTGCGATAGTTTACTGAGAATGATGATTTCTAATTTCATCCATGTCCCTAAAAAGGAGATGAACTCATCATTTTTTATGGCTGCATAGGATTCCATGGTGTATATGTGCCACATTTTCTTAATCCAGTCTATCATTATCGGACATTTGGGTTGGTTCCAAGTCTTTGCTATTGTGAATAATGCTGCAATAAACATACGTGTGCATGTGTCTTTATAGCAGCATGATTTATAGTCCTTTGGGTATATACCCAGTAATGGGATGGCTGGGTCAAATGGTATTCCTAGTTCTAGATCCCTGAGGAATCGCCACACTGACTTCCACAATGGTTGAACTAGTTGACAGTCCCACCAACAGTGTAAAAGTGTTCCTATTTCTCCACATCCTCTCCAGCACCTGTTGTTTCCTGACTTTTTAATGATTGCCATTCTAGATGGTGTGAGATGGTATCTCACTGTGGTTTTGATTTGCATTTCTCTGATGGCCAGTGATGGTGAGCATTTTTTCATGTGTTTTTTGGCTGCATAAATGTCTTCTTTTGAGAAGTGTCTGTTCATATCCTTCGCCCACTTTTTGATGGGGTTGTTTGTTTTTTTCTTGTAAATTTGTTTGACTTCATTGTAGATTCTGGATATTGCCCTTTGTCAGATGAGTAGGTTGTGAAAATTTTCTCCCATTTTGTAGGTTGCCTGTTCACTCTGATGGTAGTTTCTTTTGCTGTGCAGAAGCTCTTTAGTTTAATTAGATCCCATTTGTCAATTTTGGCTTTTGTTGCCATTGCTTTTGGTGTTTTAGACATGAAGTCCTTGCCCATGCTTATGTCCTGAATGGTAATGCCTAGGTTTTCTTCTAGGTTTTTTATGGTTTTAGGTCTAACGTTTAAGTCTTTAATCCATCTTGAATTAATTTTTGTATAAGGTGTAAGGAAGGGATCCAGTTTCAGCTTTCTACATATGGCTAGCCAGTTTTCCCAGCACTATTTATTAAATAGGGAATCCTTTCCCCATTGCTTGTTTTCCTCAGGTTTGTCAAAGATCAGATAGTTGTAGATTATTTAACTTTAAACTCATTTTGTTTGATATTAACAATGCCATTCTGCCTTTTTGTTGGATTTGTATAAGTCCTATATGCTTATAATTTTATTTTTAACCACAAGTATCTTTTATTTTTGAGTGTGTGTTTCACAAATAGAATACAACTAAATTTATTAAAACCAGTTCTGGCAGTTTTTGCTTCTCCTGTTTTCATATCATTATCCTTACATTTGCATGTTTGATGACATTTCTGTTCATTCCACTTTCCCCTTTTTAATTTTGAAATTTCATATATTTTTCATTTAACTGTTATATTTCCTTTACCTGTTTTTATAATTAACACATATATCTCTACTGTTACAGTACTACATGTGAAGTATTTTCCCTATGAAGATATACTACTCACCAGTGAAGGTGCTCTTCTTCCTCAATCCCAACCCTTTTCCCTAATAAGAGAATTCTAAAGAATAATTACTTCCTAAGAAATGAGACATTTAGCTGCTTTCATTTCTCCTGCCCTGTCTCCAGCTCCTCGAAAAGAGGAAAACTCAGATGGTTTAGCACACTTTCTTCTGTACTATTATAATTTTTTCTTAAAGGATAGCTTGTCTATTTTAATAATTCTTATTGAGCACTAATTTTTCAAAATCCCTGACAGCTTGTTCTTATCTATTGAGATAAAATGTTTGAGCAAGTCTGTATCCTGGTTCATTTGCTGTTTAATTAGTGTTCTTTCTTGAGTATTTTCCTCAAATTTGTTACAAGTGTAACACATTTACTGATATCTAGTATGTTCTCTAATATCTTTCCTTCTTGCAAGATATCAGCTGGTAAAAAAATTCTTAGGTCACATTCTCTTTATTCTGTTATCCACTTATACCGTCTAGCATTGCATAAAGTCTGATAATAAACCTAGCGATAATAGGTTTATTATCACTAGTATGACTAATACCACTTCATATTTTTTCTGGGTATCTTGATTTATTTCTTACAGTTTGTGTCCCAGATAATTAATTCAGGTGAAAAATAATTCATCCTCACCTTCTGTTCATTGCTGAATTTGTGGTAAGGAAGTCATACTATTTAATTCCTAAAAATTATTCTTTGTGTTAAAATTCAAGTATTCTATTTCAACTTTTTCAGAACAGTCTTTATTGTATGAGCATTGTGTTCTCTTTCATGCCTTGTCATGTTTTTGTTTATTTTGTTTTGTTCATGAGGGCTCATGTCAGATTCTAGAATGCTTACCTACAGCAATCCCATAGGTGAAAAGGAAGGCAGAGGCTCTACTAGATAGGAGGCACTGGCTGTCCAGTAAGAAATCCATGGAAAGCCTCTTTGCTCCTTGATCTCTTCATCCCTCTCAGGCTCAGGAACTGATATAACTCAAACCCAGTAATTTTAGTCATCCTTGTTTTTTTGGGCCAGGGATATTCACAGAGTCTAATGTTGAACTATGCTTCACTTCACATTCCTTCCCATCATTTGATACTTACTATTAATTGCCCAGAGCTCACAGAACTAATATTGCAGTGTTTGCCCCGCTTGTGGGACTTCAGATTTGAAAGAACAAAACCCCAGTGCAGTCACTGTTAGGAAGCCCATGCTTCTACTTGCATCTCTGCCACATTTGGTTGGGGAGAAACAGATAGGTTATACTTAAGGATCCAATGATAGGAAATAGCACATTTTTAGAATTGCTCAAATTCAAAACCAGGGCCTGAGTTTTAATAGGCAAAATGAGGCTGTATAGCAATTAACAAAAATGTTTAAGACTTGGGGGAAAATCATAGTTTTATAATTTCATAAAAGCAGTTATTGGAAAACATATCTGTTTTATGCTTATGATTTCAGAATTCACTGAATCAAACATCGTATTTACAAAAAAATGGAAGGTCTGGAAGGTGGAAGGAAGGAGGAAAGGAGGGAGGAAGATGAGAGAGGGAAGGAGGAAGGGAAGGAGTGAGAAGATGATGGAAGGAGGAAGGGAGGGAGGGAGGGAAGAAGGAAGGAAGGAAGGAAGGGAAGGAAGGAGGGAGGGAAGGAAGGAAAGGCTAAAGAGAAAGAGAGAGAGAGAAAGAAAGAGAAAGGAAGGAAGGAAGGAAAAAAGAGAGGAAGGGAGTTAAATAGGGATCTTCTAATAATGAAAGTCCCTTTTCCTGCTTGAATCAAAGGTGACTAAAACTTATCATTTATCTATGATAACAATTTGAGGACCCCTGCAAACACTGCCAAATAAAGTTAAAGGATCTGATAAGCAAGAGAAAGACTAGATGGCATAAAACACAACCAAGTTCATGCCATTGTAGCAATCAGATTAGAATGTTGCCGCTGGCCTGGCATTCTTGGCTTCAAGAACATTGACTCTGGTATCATGAATAAATTTAAACTGTCTCCATAGCCTTGGGCCAGTACCTAAAATTTCATATCTGTGGGTAGAAGTAAAATGCCCACGTGCTTCCTGGGCCACCAGGGGGTTGGGAAAATGGGCATCTCTGAGTGCTTATCCTGCAGTGAAGTGGGTCTGAATTCCATCATTACTGCCTATGATAAGAGTTTGTGTGCTGAGTGGCCACGAGAATGGAAAATGTGCACAAAGTATTTCTTTTGTGACCTAATGTTTGCACCCTTCTTCCATTAGTAGCTCATCCAAACAAAAGCATTCCCACCCAACATAATATAGCTCTCCCTTATAAAAATGGAAATACATTCATCCTCTCCTCAAAGAACGACCTCCAAAATGTGACCAGCTATCTAACACAAAACCTAGGATTCCTGGTGATGTTTATTCCTCATTTTATTGAGATAAAAATCAAGTCTTAAAATTCTGTCATCTTTGGACAAAAATTTCAAATTTAATTACCACCAACACACTCAATTTGAAACCGCAAGAGTGTGTGTGTGTGTGTGTGTGTGTGTGTGATATGAAAGAAAGAAACTATAGACAGAGACTAAAGTATTTGGTTCCCAGATGGCCATGGTTGATATATATGACTTTTCTGAGGGTATCCTTTGTTTCATTGTTTCATTTCTGAGTTAGGTGACTCCTTAGTGATCTTTCTGCTGTAGAGTAACCATCATCTTCCACTAACTTTATCTCTGAACAATGTTATTACAAGTGAAAATGCCAGGAGTTCAATTGTGCTCCATCCTCGAGTCACCCTACTCCTACAGCATAGCAGCAGCCCTAGTTCCTCACTGATCACTCAGGTCTCTATAGTTTATTTCTCTGTCATTATGGACAATTGAGCAAATACTGCATTGTCTGTTGAAAGAGACTCTCGGGCATCCACAGCTGGACTAATATGTCCATGGCTACTGAGGAGCCTCTTTTGCAGTAGGAGCCTTTTGATGAGCAGTCACAACAGGCACAAATGCTCTCACACTTTGAGATTGCTCCTAGCTTTCCATCCACATACCTCTTGCCCCTCCTCTTCATCATCAATCCACCAATGTTGCACCTTCCAAATCCCTAAATTGTCTGACCACTCTTTGCCACATTTTGTGATTTCCTGTAGCTATATACTTCAGCTATCTCCTTACAGTATAATATAAATTATAAGATAAGATAGAAGTTGATATTCTGCCCAGGAGGAGAATCCCCATCCTATCTTGTTTTTCGTAAATAAATGGGGTTATAACGCAACACCCCTGCATTCTCTTCCTAGTAATGCCAATCACCTGTAACTCATGCCAGATATTTTTACTCTTTATTCAGAGAGTTTATATGGAACTCCTGATGAGTCTAGATGTGTACATTGGAGGAGGATGGCCAGGAGGCAAGAATAGGCACAATGGGAATGTGGTCCAATTGCTCATGCACACTTCATGTGCTTTTACGATTGGCCCCAGCCTCATCCCCTATGTAACATTTCATGTACTTGATGAGTGAGTGCTCCTGGACATGCCAGACCTATGGTAACATGAATCAAGTTAACATTCTATTATTGATAAACAGCATGGTTGGTATGGCCACTGGGAGTTCCACGGTCCTTTTTTTTTTTTTTTTTTAACCAGGGCCCTAGTCACCAGCCAAGAAGCATTACTTAAAAGAAGTCTAGTGACTCTATCCATAGAGGCTTCCATTGTGAATGTCCTTATGAGGACATGGCAAAGTCTCCACACAACATTCGCAATGCAGGCTGTAAAACCTAAGTTGCAGACAAAAGAAACAATGCTTTAATAAAACAATAAATTAAACTTGAATGAACATGCAGATTTCACGTGGTTCTTTACCCGAACCTTACTCTCATCTGACAACCTAAGTTAGGGGGGATTTGATTCAGTTTACTTCTATAGTACTCTCATAGCTAATATATTAGATGTTTCTGATGCTGTCAGATCAAAGCAGCTAAAATGATCTAATGCTAAAGCTCATTTCCTTAGCAAAGACCATTCCCTAACTTCAAATGCACCTTCTCCTTAAACAATGGAAGCCTTCTCAGCTAGGCGCGGTGGCTCATGCCTGTAATCTCAGCACTTTGGGAGGCCGAGGCGGGCGGATCACGAGGTCAGATCGAGACCATCCTGGCTAACACGATGAAACCTCGTCTCTACTAAAAATACAAAAAATTAGCTGGGCACGGTGGCGGGAGCCTGTAGTCCCAACTACTCAGGAGGCTGAGGCAGGAGAACGGTGTGAACCCGGGAGGCAGAGTTTGCCGTAAGCCGAGGTCGCACCACTGCACTCCAGCCTGGGCGATAGAGCGAGACTACGTCTCAAAAAAAAAAAAAAAAAAAAAGCCTTCTCATTGAAATTTGCATTTGACAAAAATAATATTTAATTTTAGTTCATTTGCACAGTGTGGGGGTTAATTTCAAAATCTTTCAGAAAATGATCAATAATTCGTTAAGAAATTCAAAAATAAAGATTATTCTAATATTCTGAATGTAAAGAGAACCAATTTCCAGAAATAAAATCTTATACAATAAAGTGTGTTGATTTATCTTACGGGGAGATAGTTTAATAAGATTGTTAAATAGCTCATGTTACTAAAATGTTAAAAAAAAATCATTGATTTGAAGACTATTAGTAGAGTTTTCACACCTTTTAAGCAACAGCACGTCACAATTTCTTATTTCATAGACTTTTATTATTTTTGTAATTATATTTTTTGAATGCTTATCTGTTATTTGTATCTTATTTATAAATATAGTTAAATTGCCTTAAATTATGGAAACTTCAAGAGTCAAATAGAACATTTTGCTACTTAAATTAGAGATTAAAGAGACAAATGATAACATGACAAGGCGATAATTGAAAGTTCAGATTTGATCAAAAGAGCATCTTTTGTGTGTTTTTTACTTGGCACAAATTTAGCTATTTCTCATATACAAGTTCCATTGATACATTTTTCTAGGTAACAACCATTGGTAAATGTGATCATAACAAAGTATTTCTGAACATTTAATAATTTAAAACAGATTTTATTATGTTAACTACAGCTCTTACTAATGCTTATTAAAACTTCACATTGTTTTATATACCAGTTCACTAGAGTAAAACTAAAGTGGGATTTGGCTTGACCTTAATCAAAGTTCCAGCCTGTAGAGATGCTGATGCTAAATGCTTCAGGAAGATATTGATGAGAATGCATCTATATTGGCTGATGCAGAGTCTAGTCAACACTATGGCTGAAGAGTATACTAAACCTAGAAAAGTTGCTGGACTTGAAAAGGCAGAATGGGTTTGTTTTGATGCTGAGTAAGGGGTGTTTAGATATTTTTGGTCATTTTTTTAACTATCTGTGGAACATATAGTTAACCCCTAAGCATACTCAGTCATATTCTCATTCAGGTATCTTGTTATAGAGTTGTCTACTCATGGGTGATTCCTTCAAGACACATAAAAAAAGTAGAACCTCCCTCGCCCCACCACCACCCAGGCTGGGATACTCTTGAAAGCCTCTTTATTCTCAATCATTGGTATTCTTGGCTAATCTTTCCATCATTCAGATGCTGGACAGTATTGTAACCAGATGCATGGTGATATATTCTAACAAGACTTTGGATCAGTCTTGGATTTGCTGTACAGCAATACTCATACTATACTAAAACAGAAGACCCTTTATAATTTCAAAAATGTCCTTCTCTTACACATACACACACACACACACACACACACAATTAGTATATGATATGCAGCCTTCCTAGAGGGCTATATTAAACCATGTTTTCTGTCAATGTGATATAAAGAAACAAGAGACCTCCTTGTAATTTGGATTTTTCCAGGTATCTAATTTCAATCTAATGTACTGCTATGAAACAAAGCCAGTAAATTTATATGGCTATTCCATTTGAGGGTTTGGTCTTTTATTTTTAGTCTGTGACAATTTCTGGTTTCCATTCCTTGTTCAGGAATGATAACAGTGTGATTTACAGGTATAACTAACAAATGAGATTAATTAAAATGTCTAAGAGTGGCACCTGTCTGAGTATAGAGTTGCACTAAATGATTCTTTCAGCTTCGTTTCCTGTAGTCCCTACCATTTGTAAGCCCTTTCCACATGCAAAGTAACAATGAAGGGTTGTTTCCTAATGGGCATGAACTAAGAAAGCAGGCCTTATCCTATGGCCTAGATATATGATTATTATCACGGACTGGAAACAACAGGTGTATTTTTCAACTTCATTTACACAAATGATCCCTGTGTTTCACAGTGTTCATTAATATAGCTTCTTGAATTGCCCAATTTGTTACAGATTTTTGCTATCAGCTGTCTTTGTGATTGAATTGAATTTGTAATGAAATAGAACCTATCTTTCATTTGTGAACATCACTGAACACTTTGATCATTACAAGACAAACTTGATACTTTTAAAACATCTTAGGTTGTGGAAAAGGGAAAAATGGTTGCTTCTGAGGATAAAAGTACCTATTGCATAAAACACTCCAGTGATTTGTATTTGCATTTCTTCTATGAAAAAATTGTAAATAAATAAATAAATAAATAAATAGCAATTTGCCAAACTTTATGATCATAAAGCATTATATAAAATGGCATGTAGAAATTCTGAATCCTCAGGTGTATACTATTGGTAGTAGTTTTGATTACAATTGAAAGGTTGAATTGAATTTTGTCAACATGCCTATCAGTTATGTTCCCATTTGGGGACAACAGGAGCTATATTGCAGAGTGAAAGATGAAAATTTTCATTCCAAGCTATACCTCTGAAATCAGCAATTGTGTTTATGAAATAAATGGATATTATTAACATAATTGAAACTGCAAATTAATGGAATTTTCAAAAGATAACTGGAGTCTCCATTCTTAAGTGACATAAATACCAAAATCAGAATACCTCAGAAAGTATGTAAGCAGAGGCACTTTGCCCACTAAAACAATCTCAACTCAAGCCACTTCTAAGTAAGACAGTCACACTGCCAGTCTGGCTGGGATGGTCCATGGTTAATGTCTGTCACTCTTGCATATTTTAAAATAGTGACTCTTTCCATCTTCATGAGTGAGTTTGAACAGCTAATCATGTAGACATTCAACTTGTAAGTCTAGCAAAATAACTTTGTAAAAGTTACATCTTACTTAAGCAAAATAATATTGCATTTATAAAAATATAATTAAAAGTACTCATCCAAATAAGCCACAGTTTGATACAAGTGATTTCTTTTTTCTACCAAAGACAGTCAGAGCCCCCTGGCTGTACAGATTGTGGATCCAGAGATGCCAGTTATGATATGATTCTGATGTGCTAATGTTCAACTGGTTTAGTACTTTAAAAATTTTTACACAGAACTGCCATGTCTTATTCTGCAACAAATAATAAAATGCATCAGAAGGAAATCTAATTATACCTTATCTCTTATACCATTTCTCTTCTGTAGGTTATATACAATAGAATTCAAACTACAAAATCAAAGCTACCCTAATAATTTATAGCATGAAGAGTGACATCAACAAAGTTTACATCACAAAGAAAGAAAACACTTATATATTTAAATTTTTTAAAACATAGAACACTGTTATTATTCACTGAAAGGATTCTAGAGGTCATATACAACTAAGAAAAGATGTTCCTAGGTGACAGTACCATGCATTTATAATCTTCTTTTATATATATTTTAATTCTACTTATAAAAACTATATTTCCAAAGTTGCTAGAAGCTCTCAGAAACTTCTTTGCCAATAGTGTGTTGGAGTGGATATAATCTAAGAAATAATATACCTCAATCTCTTCCAATCAACCTAAGAAAGACATTCAGGAAGATAGACTAATTTATCAAGGTCATGGAGAAAGAATTTTGGAGTTTAGACTAATTTATCAAGGTCATGGAGAAAGAGAATTTTGGAGTTTGATTTCTGGCTATTTCTTCTTCCTTTTCTTTTCCTTCCTTTCTTCTTTCTTTCTAATTTTTAGTAACTTTGTTAGGCAGCTTGGCACCACAATCCCCGCTGCTGTCCTTAGAGATTTCAGGGTGCACAGTGGTGTTCCATGCTTATGAGTAGGGGATGCCATTAGCCCATAAGACCTGATCAACTTCACACCAAAATTGTTCACTACATGTTTGGCAAGTTCAGAAGTTTAAGAGATGCCTTCAGAGATGGTGAGTGCTATTCATGAAGATCTTGATATCACAATTGATTGATCGTCATTCCTAAATTCAGGAGTTATGAGCCACTTAGAAACAGTTCCAATGATACTTTGAGATTAACTCCACTACTCACTCAACTGAACAGAATCTCCAGAAAAAATCTCTTTTTGGCCAGATTTTTCCCAGAGATTTTGTTCAGTGGAGTGAGTAAATAAAATATCAGATATTGGGCTGGGATGATTGTGAATGCCAGCATTGTTCTGAAGACAAATTTTCACCACCATGTCTAATGCAATGGATAGGATTGTATTTGTTCTCCACCCAGTCCTCTCCAAGTAGACCTTGAGCACTTTGAGAATTGCATTGTTTTATTAGTGTCAAATTTTTTTTATTAAACTTTAAGTTCTTGGGTACATGTGCAGAACATGCAGGTTTGTTACATAGGTATACATGTGCCATGGTGATTTTCTGCACCCATAAACCCGTAATCTACGTTACGTATTTCTCCTAATGCTATCCCTGCCCTAGACCCCCACCCACTGACAGGCCCCAGTGTGTGATGTTCCCCTCCCTGTGTCCATGTGTTCTCATTGTTCAACTCCCATTTATGAGTGAGAACACGTGGTGTTTGGTTTTCTGTTCTTGTGTTTCTTTTTTGAGAATGATGGTTTCCAGCTTCATCCCTGTCCCTGCAAAGGATATGAACTCATCCATTTTTATGGCTGCATAGTATTCCATGGTATATTTGTGCCACATTTTCTTTATCTAGTCTATCATTGATGGGCATTTGGATTGGTTCCAAGTCTTTGCTATTGTGAACAGTGCTGCAATAAACATATGTATGCATGTGTCTTTACAGTAGAACAATTTATAATCATTTGGGTACATACCCAGTAATGGGATTGCTGGGTTAAATGGTATTTCTGGTTCTAGCTCCTTGAGGAATTGTCACACTGTCTTCCACAATGGTTGAACTAATTTAAACTCCCACCAACAGTGTGAAAGCATTCCTATTTCTCCACATCCTCTCCAGCATCTGTTGTTTCCAGACTTTTTAATGATCGCCATTCTAACTGGCATGAGATGGTATCTCATTGTGGTTTTGATTTGCATTTCTCTAATGACCAGTGATGATGAGTTCTTTTTCATATGTTTGTTGGCTGCAAAAATGTCTTCTTTTGAGAAATGCCTGTTCATATCCTTCACCCACTTTTTGATGGGGTTGTTTGCTTTTACTTGTAAATTTGTTTAAGTTTCTTGTAGATTCTGGATATTAGCCCTTTGTCAGATGGATAGATTGCAAAAATTTTCTCCCTTTCTGTCAGTTGCCTGCTCACTCTGGTGATAGTTTCTTTTGCTGTGCAGAAGCTCTTTAGTTTAATTAGATCCCATTTGTCTATTTTGGCTTTTGTTGCCATTGTTTTTGGTGTTTTTGTCATGAAGTCTTTGCCCATGCCTATGTCCTGAATGGTATTGCCTTGGTTTTCTTCTAGGGTTTTTATGGTTTTAGGTCTTACGTTTAAGTCTTTAATCCATCTTGAGTTAACTTTTGTATAAGGTGTAAGGAAGGGATCCAGTTTCAGTTTTCTGCATATGACTAGCCAGTTTTCCCAACATCATTTATTAAATAGGGAATCCTTTCCCCATTGCTTGTTTTTGTCAGGTTTGTCAAAGATCAGATGGCTGTAGATGGGTGGCATTATTTCTGAGGCCTCTGTTCTGTTCCATTGGTCTATAAATCTGTTTTGGTACCAGTACCATGCTGTTTTTGTTACTGTGGCCTTGTAGTATAGTTTGAAGTCAGGTAGCGTGATGCCTGCAGGTTTGTTTTTTTGTTGTATTTTGTTTGTTTGTTTTGTTTTGTTTTGTTTGCTTAGGATTGTCTGGGCTATGTGGGCTCTTTTTTGTTCCATATAAAATTTAAAGTAGTTTTTTTTCCAATTCTTTGAAGAAAGTTAATGGTAGCTTGATGGGGGTAGCATTGAATCTATAAATTACTTTGGGACGTATGGCCATTTTCACGATATTGATTCTTCCTATCCATGAGCATGGAATGTTTTTCCATTTGTTTGTGTCCTCTCTTATTTCCTTGAGCAGTGGTTTGTAGTTCTCCTTGAAGAGGTCCTTCACATCCCTTGTAAGTTGTATTTTTAGGTATTTTATTCTCTTTGTAGCAGTTGTGAATGGGAGTTCATCATGATTTGGCTCTCCGTTTTTCTGTTAGTGGTGTATAGGAATGCTTTTGATTTTTGCACATTGATTTTGTATCCTGAGACATTGCTGAAGTTGCTTATCAGTTAAAGGAGATTTGGGGCTGAGATGATGGGGTTTTCTAAATATACAATCATTTCATCTGCAAACAGACACAATTTGACTTTCTCTTTTCCTAATTGAATACCCTTTATTTCCTTCTCTTGCCTGATTGTCCTGGCCAGAACTTCCAATACTATGTTGAACAGGAGTGGTAAGAGAGGACATCCTTGTCTTGCGCCAGTTTTCAAAAGGAATGCTTCCAGTTTTTGGTCATTCAGTATGATATTGTCTGCGGTTTGTCATAAATAGCTCTTATTATTTTGAGATACATTCCATCAATACCTAGTTTAGTGAGAATTTTCAGTATGAAGGCTGTTGAATATTGTTGAAGGCCTTTTCTCCATCTATTGAGATAATCATGTGGTTTTTGTCATTGGTTCTGTTTATGTGATGGATTGTGTTTATTGATTTGCATATGTTGAACCAGGCTTGCATCCCTGGGATGAAGCCAACTTGATCATGGTGGACAAGCCTTTTGATGTGTTGCTGGATTCGGTTTGCCAGTATTTTACTGAGGATTTTTGCATCAATGTTCATCAGGGATATTGGCCTGAAATTTTCTTTTTTTGTTTTTTTGCTGTGTCTTTGCCAGGTTTTGGTATTAGCACGATGCCAGCCTCATAAAATGAGTTAGGGTGGATTCTTTCTTTTTCTATTGTTTGGAATAGTTTCAGAAGGAATGGTACCAGCTCCTCTTTGTACCTATGGTAGACTTTGATCAAGCAGAAGAAAGGATATCAGAGATTGAAGATCAACTCAATGAAACAAAGCAAGAAGACAGGATTAGAGAAAAAAGAGTGAAAAAAACAAACAAAGCCTCCAAGAAATATGGGACTATGTGAAAAGACCAAATCTACGCTTGATTGGTGTACCTGAAAGTGACGGGGAGAATGGAACCAACAGACACCTCATATAGGAGAGCTCTGGCTGGCATCTGGTGGGTGTCCATCTGGGATGAAGCTTCCAGAGGAAGGAACAGGCAGCAATCTTTGCTGTTCTGCAGCCTCCACCGGTGATAACCGGGCAAGCAGGGTCTGGAGTGGACCTCCAGCAAACTCCAGCAGAGCTGCAGCAGAGGGGCCTGTTAGAAGGAAAACTAACAAACAGAAAGGAATAGTATCAACATCAACAAAAAGGACGTCCACTCAGAGACTCCAGCCGAAGTTCACTGACTTCAAAGACCGAAGGTAGCTAAATCCATGAAGATGAGGAGAAGCCAGCGCAAAAAGGCTGAAAATTCCAAAAACCAGAACGCCTCTTCTTCAAAGAATCACAACTCCTCTCCAGCAAGGGAACAAAACCAGACGGAGAATGATTTTGACAAATTGACAGAAATGGGCTTCAGAAGGTGGGTAATAACAAACTTCTCTGAGCTAAAGGAGCATGTTCTAACCCAAAGCAAGGAAGCTAAGACCCTTGAAAAAAGGTTAGACAAATTGCTAACTAGAATAACCAGTTTAGAGAAGAACATATATGACCTGATGGAGCTGAAAAACACAGCACTAGAACTTCATGAAGCATACACAAGTATCAATAGCCGAATTTATTTATGTCAATTTTTATCCACAACAGGAAGTGTATACTATTTAATAAATGATAGTCTAATGAATGAATGGATATGATGGAAAGATCAATCAATGAAACTAAGATAGATAATTTGATAAAGAATGTCATAGGAAGAATAGATGGAGAGAAATGGGAAAAGGGTATTTCCGGAAGACTAGTGTAATTTACAGCGAGCTTTTGTAGGACAAGTAGAAGATGATGCTGAGAATTATAATGATGAAGCCTTAACATTGAGAACTTCTAATGCTAAAATAATAAATTCAGATTTTTCCTAAAATGTAATGGAGCAACCCATTTAAAGTTCATAATAAACAAAGGCAAGATAATTAATCTGTGTATTTTTAAGGTAGTTGATCCAGCAACTGAAAACAAAATAATTATCTCTGTCTGAGGTTTATTTAAATATAGGAGAAATAAATTATTAATGTGCTCTCTAAAGACATAAATGTTATATAAGTAATTCCACTAAAAATACATCCAAACCAATAAACCAGAAGGCTCTTATCTGTACATGCATAAGCCTATACATTTGTGGTAAGCTCAGGCCTGGCATTCGGAGTTTAGAATTTCACAAGCTAGGTCTACTCATTCAGTTAACCAACCATGGCAGCCCAAGATATGGAAACCTTTCTAGACATCCTTTCACCACAGGAATCAATCTATGATCCTAGGCATCGGTTCTTATCACCCTCTACCAAGAGAAAAGAGAAGTCAAGGAAATAAACAGTTGATTAATCCCTCTTTCCTCATCAACTCCTTAAAACCTCAAACTTCACTTATAATAGTAGCAACAACAATGGCAATAATAGTGAGTGCTTATCATGGTCATAAACAAAAATAAATCATTATTTTTTTCCTTTTCCTCAATGGACTAGAAATTAGGATTGCTGGTTTTGATTTTGAAGGGATTTTGAAAAGTATTTTTAATAAGACATCTTGTGTGGTGCATCTATGGGAGTTATAGCTAGAGCATATTAAGAAGCTACTCTTCCCTCCTGTGATGTGTCTGTTCTTCTATTCAGGAACTGAGATTAACAGCACTGTTTTCCATCCCCTTGTCAACAGCATGCCTTAGAAGCCCCCTATTACCCTTGATAACAGTGTGGCTGCAATTTGGACCTGAAAGAAATAGGTCTGGGATGGTCTCTCTGATACTTAGAGCTATTCTACAGCACTGTTATCTACATTTGTAATTTGTTTTAAGAACAGTCATTTACATTTCAGTTGGATTACACCTTTTAATGTGTCACACAGTAAAGTGGCTGCAATGCAAACTCACAGCTCTGCCACATTTCAAATAATGCAATTGAACCACCAAGGAGGGGATTATAGTTACAATTAAAACCAAAAACAGGACAGATCCTTTCATGATGTGGCAGTAACACTTTGTGGGTGGCAGGAAAGAGGCAAAAGTGCTGTCCATACTGCTGTTTTAAGGTAGTATGAAACAGCACTCTACCATTGAGTTTTTATGGCCCTGGCCATTACTAAAGGAGTAAACATGAGAGTAGCTGGCAATATCTCAAAAAGTTAAATAAAGATGATGTTTACTGTGGGACTGCTTCACAGTATCTAAGACAGTAAAACTTTTATTGATATATACATTCTACTAAAAGACCAAATTAAGCCAAAGTAAGATTACAGAGCAAAAGGAATGTCAAGATTAGCAAATTATTATTTTCAATAAGTAATTATTGAATGTTTTTATAAATGCCTTTTATTATAAGTTTTCAGAAGTAGAGTAAGATTGCAAACTAGAAGCCTGCACCACTTGTTTCCCCCAGAGGAACACAAAATTTTAACAACTATCTGCACATAGAAAAGCACCATCACAAGAAACAAAAATCAGGTGAGCTATCATAGTGCCTGGTTTTAACTTCGTATTGCTAAAATAGACATTGAAGAAGGTCAGAGAGATATCCTTGAATCACTAACACCACCCCTTCCCTCTCCCCATGCAGCTTGGATAGTCTGTACACTTTGGGGAGGGAGAGTGCCGTGACTAGGGGACTTTACAATGAACTCAGTACTGTCCTATCATAGCAGAGAACAAAGCAATGCTAGGCTCAGTCAGCACCTATGCACAGAGGAAGCATTTGAACTAGATGTAACCAGAGGGGAGTTGCCCATCTCAGTGGTCAGAATTTGAGTTTCTCAACAAACCATGCCACTGTGAGCCAAAGTGCTCTTAAATCCTATATAAATTTGAAAGACAGTCTACGACACACGAACTGCAATTCCTAGACAATTACAAGTGTTGGGCTGGGCTCAGAGCTGGAGAACTAGTGTGGCACATCACTAGTAAGTCACCGACCAGGGCACCTAAGGGAGTGCTTGTGCCATCCTTCCCCCAACCCGAGGCAGTGCAACTTGCAACAGTGAAAATGACTCCTTCTTTCTACTTAAGGAGAGGAAAGGGAAGAGTAAAGAGGACTTTGTCTTACATCTTGGATAGCAGCTCAGCTACAGTAGGATAGGGTACTGGGCAGAGTCATGAGGCTCCCATTCCATGCCTGGCTCATGGATGACATTTCTAGACACACCCTGGACCAAAACGAAACACAATCCCTTGAAAGGAAGGACCCAGTTCTGGCAAGATTCATCACCTGCCAACCCAAGAGCCCTTGAATAACAGCTGTGATATGTAGATAATACTCCCTGGACCTAGGGCTCTGAGATGTGCTGACTTCAGGTATAACTAAGAACATTCTGAGCTGTGGTGGCTACAGTGAATGACTCCTTATGTTTGAGAAAAGCAGAGGGAAAAGTAAAGGGGACTTTGTCTTGTAACTCAGGTGCCACCTTGGCCACAGTGGGGTAGAGCAACAAGCAGTGTTTTGGGGTCCCTGAGTCCGGGCCTAGGCTTTTAGACAGCATTTCTAGATCTGCCCTGGGTCAGAGGGAAGTCCAATGCCCTGAAGGGTGAATCCCACACCTTGTAGCATTCACCACAAGCTAACTGAAGAGCCCTTGAGATTTAAGTAAACATCAGCAGTGGTCTGACAGAACACCTATGGGCCAGTGGTGGTGGTGGCCACAGGAAAAGATTCCCCTGACTCTAGAAAGGGGAGGGAATAGTGGGAAGGACTTTGTATTATCTTTTGAGTGTCAGCTTAGCCATGGTAGAATAGAATATCAGGCAAACTTCTAAATTTTTGACTCCAATCCCTGGTCCCAGATACCATCTCTGGACCTGCCAAAGGCATAGGGGAACTTGCTGCCATGAAAGGAAGGAAACAAACCTGGCTGGCTTCACCACCTACTAATGAGAGATCCCTAGAGCCTTGAGTTAACATAGGTGGTACCCAGGCCATGGTCACAGTGGGTCTTGGGTGAGACCCAGTGCTGTGCTGGCTTCAGGTCTGACCTAGCACAGTCCCAGTGGTGGTGGCCATATGGGTGCTTGCATCATCACATCCCTAGTTACAGGGGACTCATGACAGAGAGACTCTATTTGTTTGGGAGAAAGTAAGGGGAAAGAACAAGTGTCTCTTCCTGTTAATTCAGAGAATTTTTCTGGATCTTATACAAGACCACCAAGGTGTTACTTCTATGAGTCTGCAAAAACCACAGTATTACTGGGCTTGAGACCTAAGTCCCTTCAAATACCTGGAGAGCCTTCTCAAGAGGGATTGGCACAAACAAACCCGGGCTGTGAAGACTGCAATAAATACCTAATTATTCAATACCCAGACAATGATGAACATTTCCAAGCATCAAGATCCTCCAGAAAAACATGATCTTAACAAAAGAACTAAATAAGACAGCAGGCATCAATCCTGAAGAAATTTATATAAGTGACCTCTCAGACAGATAATTCAAAACAGCTGTGTCGAGGAGACTCAAAGAAATTCAAGATAACACAGAGAAGAAATTTGGAATTCTATCAGATAAATTTCACAAGAACATTGAAATAATTAAAAAGGCTCAAGCAAAAATTCTAGAGTTGAAAAATGCAATCAACATATTGAAGAATGCATCAGAGTCTCTTAATAGCAGAATTGATCAAGCAGCAGAAAGAATTAGTGAGCTTGAAGACAGGCTGTTGGAAAATATGCAGTCGGAGAAGACAAAAGAAAAAAATAATTTAAAAATGAAGCACAACTACAAAATCAAGAAAATAGACTTATACAAGCAAATCTAAAAGTTATTGGCCTTAAAGAGGAAGTAAAGAAAGAGACAGGGCAGAAAGTTTAGTAAAAAGAATAACAGAGAATTTACCAAACTTAGAGAAAGGTACCAACATTCAAGTACATGAAGGTTATAGAACACCAAGAAGATTTAACCCAAATAAGTCTAACTCAAGGCATATAATAATCAAACTCCCAAAGGTCAAGAATAAAGAAAGCATTGTAAAAGCAGCAAGAGAAAAAAAAGAAAAAAATAACATAACAATGGAGCTCCAATACATCTGGCAGCAGACTCTTCACTGGAAACTTTACAGGCCAGGAGAGAGTGGCATGACATGGCATGACATATTTAAGGTGCTAAAGGAAAAATGCTTTTACCCTAGAATAGTATATCCCATGAAAATATTCTTCAAGCATTAAGGAGAAGTAAAGACCTTCCGAGACAAATGAAAGCTGAGGGATTTCATCAACACCAGACCTGTCCTACAAGAAATGCTAAACGGAATTCTTCTTCTGAAAGAAAAGGACGTTAATTAGCAAGAATAAATCAACTGAATGTATAAAACTCACTGGTAATAATAAGCACACAGAAAAACAAAGACTATCATAACACTATAATTATGGTGTATAAACTATTTTTATCTTAATTAGAAAGACCAAATGATGAATCTATCACAAATAATAACTAGAACAACTTTTCAAGATGGACTGCACAATAAGAAATAAATAAAAACAACAAAAAGTTAAAAAGCAGGGGGACAAAAATTAAAGGTGTAGAGTTTTAACTAATTTAACTGTTTATACAATCAGTGTTAAATTACAATCAGCTTAAAGTAATGGGCTATAAGACAGTATTTGCAAGCTTCACAGTAACCTCAAATCAAAAAAAAAATACAATGGATATTCCAAAAGCATATGATGGATACACAAAAAATAAAAAGCAATAAATTAAATCATATGATCAGAGAAAATCGCCTCCACTAAAAGGGGAACAGAGAGAAAGAAAAGAGACGACCACAAAAAGCTAGAAAATAAATAACAAAATGGCAGGAGTAAATTCCTACTTGTCAATGATAACACTGAAAGTAAATGGACTGCAGCCTGGGCAATATGGTGAGGCCCTATCTCTACTAAAAATACAAAAAAAAAAAAAAAAAATAGCTGGGCATGGTGTTGCATGCCTATGGTTCCAGCCATTGGGGAGGCTGAAGTAGGAGGATCACTTGAGCCTAGTGGAGTTTGCAGTCAGCCAAGATTATGCCATTGCACTTTAGCCTGGGTGACAGAATGAAACCCTGTCTCATTAAAAAAAAAAAAAAAAGTAAAGAAAGAAAGTCAATGGACTAAACTCTCCAATAAAAAAGACAGAGTGACTAAATGGATGATAAAACAGGACCCAATGATCTGTCGCATAAAAGAAACATACTTTACCTATAAAGAATACACATAAACTAAAAATAAAAGGATTGAAAAAGATATTCCATGCCAATGCTAACCAAAAAAAAAAAGCAGGAGTAGCTATACTTAAATCAGAGAAAATAGGTTTCAAGACAGAAACTGTAAGAAGAAACAAAGAAGGTCATTATATAATGATAAATAGACTGATCAAGGATAAGTATATAATGATAGTAAATATATATTCACTTAACACTGGAGCACCCAGATATATAAAGTAAATATTATTAGGGCTAAAAAGAGAGATAAACCTCAATGCAATAATAGCTGGAGACATCAACAACCCACTTTCAGCATTAGACAGATCACCCAGACAGAAAATCAACAAAGAAACATTGATTTGATCTGCACTGTAGAACAAATTGATCTAATAGATATTTACAAAAAAGTTTACTCGAGGCTGCAGAATAAGCATTCTCCTCTTCAGCACATGTATCATTCTCAAGAATAGATCACCAAACAAGTCTTAAAACATTCCAAAAATTGAAATAATATCTAGCATCTTCTCTGACCACAATGGAATAAAAGTAGAAATTAACAACAAGAGAAATTTTGGAAACTCTACCAACACATGGAAATTCCATGGAAGTGGAATATGCTCCTGAATGACCAGTGGGTCAATGAAAAAATTAGGAAGAAAATTAAAAAATCTTCAAGCAAATAATAATGGAAACACCACATACCTAAACCTAAGGGATACAGCAGAAGTAGTACTAAAAAGGAAATATATAGCTATCAGTGTCTACATCAAAAAAGAAGAAAAACTACCAAGAAAAACTAACAAAGCATCTTAAAGAACTAGAAATACAAGAGGAAACTGAACCTAAAATTATTAGAAGAAAAGAAATAATATCAGAGCAGAAAAAAATGAATTTAAAATAAAAAATACAAAAGATCAATTAAAAAGTTGGTTTTTGGAAACGGTATACAAAGCTGACAAACCTTCAGCCAGACTCATGAAGAATAAAAGGGGAGAAGACCAAAATAAAAAAAAATAGAAATGTGACAGGAGACATTACAACTAACACTGCAGAAATTGAAGGGATCATTAGTGGTTATTATAAACAACAATAAACTGAAAAATCTACAGGAAATGGACAAATTCCTAGACACATACAACCTACCGAGATTGAACCATGAAGAAATCCAGAACTTGAACAGACAGTAACAAGTAATGAGATAAAAGCCATAATAAAAAGTCTCTGAGCAAAGAAAAGCCTGGGACCCAATGGCTTAACTGCTGAATTCTACCAAACCTTTAAAGAAGAACTTGTATCAATACTACTCAAACTATTATAAAAAATAGAGGAGGAGAGAATACTTCCAAACTAATTTGACAAGGTCAGTATTACTCTGATACCAAAACAAGACAAAGACACATCAAAAAAAGAAATCTATAGGCAAATAGAACTGATGAATATTGATGCAAAAATCCTCAACAAGATAATAGCAAACTGAATTTATCAATACATTAAAGAGATTATTCATGATGACCAAGTGGGATTTATGCCAGAGATGCAAGGATAGTTAAACATATGCAAATAAATCAGTGTGATACATCATGCAAACAGAATGGAGGAGAAAAGCTATATGTTCATTTCAATTGATGCTGAAAAAGCATTTTGATAACATTCAATAGCCTTTCATGATTAAAAAAAACCATAAAAAATCTGGGTATAAAGAAACATACCTCAACATAATAAAAGCCATATACAACAGATACACGGCTAGTATCATACTGAATGGGGGAAAAAGTAAAGGACTTTTCTCTAAGATCTGAAACACAACAAGATTGCCAACTTTCACCACTGTTATCCAACATAGTACTGGAAGTCCTAGCTAGAGCAATCAGTCAAGAGAAAGAAATAAAAGGCATTCAAATTGGAAAGTCAGACTATCTTTGTTTCCAGATGATATGCTCTTATATTTGGAAAAACCTAAAGAATTCATCAAATAACTATTAGAACTGATAAACAAATTCAGTAAAGTTGCAGGATACAAAATCAACATACAAAAATTGATAGCATTTATATATGTCAATAGTGAACAATCTGAAAAAGAAATAAAAGTGTAATTCCATTCACAATAGCCACAAATAAAATAAAACACCTAGGAATGAACTTAACCAAAGCAGTGAAAGATCTCTACAATGAAAACTATAAAACACTGATAAAATAGATTGGACACAAAAATATATTTTTAAAAATCCATGTTTATGGATTGGAAGAAGCAATACTGTTAAAATTTCCATACTACTCAAAGCAATCTACAGATTCATTGCAATTGCTACCAAAACACTAGTGACATTCTTCACAGAAATAGAAATAACAATTCTAAAATTTATGTGGAACCACAATATTCTGAATATTCAAAGCTATCATGAGCAAAAAGAAAAAAAAATTGGAGGATTCACATTACCTGACTTCAAATAATACTACAGAGCTGTAGGAACAAAAACAGCATGGTACAGGCATAAAAAATAGACACACAGACCAGTAGAACAGAATAGAGAACCCAGAAATAAATCCAAACATCTACACTGAACTTCTTTTTGGCAAATGTGCAAAGAACATACACTGGGAAAGGACAATCTCTTCAATAAATGGCGCTGAGAAAACTGAATATCCATGTGCAGAAGAATGAAACTAGACTGCTATCTCTTGCCATATACAAAGAAAGAAATCAAACCAAAATGGACTAGAGACTAAAATGTAAGACCTCAAACTATGAAACAACCATACGAAAACATTGGGAAAACTTTCCAGGACATTGGAGTAGGCAAAGATTTCTTCGGTATTATCACACAAGCACAGGCAACCAAAGCAAAAATGGATGCGTGGGATCACATCAAGTTAAAAAGCTGCTGCACAGCAAAGGAAATGATCAACAAAGTGATGAGATCGCCCACAGAATTGAAGAAAATATTTGCAAACTATCCATCTGACAAGAAATTAGTAACCAGAATATATAAGGAGCTCTAACACTTCTATAGGAAAATATTAAATAATCTGATCAAAAATAGGCAAAATACTTGAATAGACATTTCTCAATAGAAGACATACAAATGGCAAACTGGCAAGCAACTGGATGCTCAACACCACTGATCATCAGAGAAATGCAAATCAAAACTACAATGATATATCATCTCACCTAGTTAAAATGGCTTTTATCCAAAAGACAGGCAATAACAAATGCTGACAAGAATGTGGACAAAAGGGAACTCTCATACACTCTTGGTGGGAATGTGAATTAGTACAACCAGTGTGGAGAACAGTTTGAAGTTTCTTCAAAAACTAAACATAGAACTACCATATGATCCAGCACTCTCACTACTGAGTATACACCCAAAAGAAAGGAAATCAGTATATTGAAGAGATATCTGCACTCCCATGTTTATTGCAGCGCTGTTCACAATAGTCAATATTTGGAAGTAGCCTTAGTGTTTATCAACAAATAAATGGATGAAGAAAATGTGATACTTATACACAATGGAGTACTATTCAGTCATAAATAAGCATGAGATCCAGTCATTCACAACAACATGAATGCAGCTGAAGGTCATTATGTTAAGTGAAATAAGACAGACAAAACAACAAGCATCAAGTGTTCTCACTTATTTGTTGGAGCTAAAAATTAAAACAATTGAACTCATGGAGATGGAGAGTAAAAGAATGCTTACCAAAGGCTGGGTAGGGTAGTAGTGGGGAGGTGGGGATGGTTAATGGTACCAAAAAAAGTTGGAAAGAATGAATAAGACCTACTACTGGATAGCACAACAGTGTGACTATAGACAAAACAATTTAATTGTACATTTAAAAATAACTAAAAGAGTATAATTTGATTTTTGTAACTCAAAGGATAAATACTTGAGGGGATGGATAACCCATTTTTCCCTGATGTGGTTATTTTGCATTGCATGCCTGTATCAAAAATTACATGCCTGAAGAAAATATTTTGGTTAGTTCACCCCATAAATGTATACACCTAGTAGGTACCCACAAAAATAAAAATTAAAAAATATATAATTTAAAAACTAAAATTAATTTTGAATAAAATTTAATTTAAAAAACATTCTAAAGTCTGACAATAAAAAATTATTAAAGATATCATAAAGTTCTTTATTAAAATATGCTTTTATATAATTTCATTTAATTCTTGAGATTAGTTCATTTGCAAATGTATTGAGGTATAAGCTACACATAAAACTTATCTATATTACGTGTATATTTTCATGAATTTTAAAAGTTGCTTTGCAGGGAGGCCGAGGCGGGCGGATCACGAGGTCGGGAGATCGAGACCATCCTGGCTAACACGGTGAAACCCCGTCTCTACTAAAAATACAAAAAAAATTAGCCGGGCGTGATGGTGGGCGCCTGTAGTCCCAGCTACTCGGGAGGCTGAGGCAGGAGAATGGCGTGAACCCGGGAGGCGGAGCTTGCAGTGAGCCGAGATTGCGCCACTGCACTCCAGCCTGGGCCACAGAGCGAGACTCCGTCTCAAAAAAAAAAAAAAAAAAAAAAAGTTGCTTTGCAGTCACATTACCACCACTACAATCAAAATACAAAATGGTTCCAGGCTGGGCGCAGTGACTCATGTCCAGATTATCAGCACTTTGGGAGGCTGAGGCAGGAAGATCAAAGGAGAACAAGTTTGAGACCAGCCTGGGCAGCATAGTGAGACCTCATCTCAACAACGAAAACATATATACAAAAATTTAAAAAATACAAAGTGGTTTCATTGAAGAGTTTCTTTAAGACCTTTTTAGTCTATTTTCTCCCCTGACTGCCAGGTTCAGGCCATCACTGATCTGCTTTCTGTCACTACAGTTTTACCTTTTCTAGAATCCCACATAAGTGGAATTATATAGTTTTAGTTCCTATGCCTTGAATATTTGCGTCCCCTCTGGAATTCTTAGGTTGTAATCTAATTCCCAAAGTGATAGTCTTGACAAGTGGGATCTCTAGAAGGTAATTCAGTTATGAGGATGGAGCCCTCATGAATGCATTAATGCCATTATTAAAAGTGTTCCCAGAAATAGTTTTGTTCTATTGGAAGTGAAGATTCCCTGTCACCTTCCACTATGCAAAGATGCAGCAAGAAGGCCCCATCAGATTTCAGCACTTGAATTGGACTTCTCAGCTTCCAGAACTGTAAGCCAATAAATGTTTTTTTCATTATAAGTTACCCAGTCTGCTGCATTCTGTTATTGCAGAACAAAATGAACTAAGACGGAAATTGGTACTGGGAGTGGAAGTGTTGCTATAACAAATACCTAAAAATGTAGAAGTGGCTTTGGAACAAGATAATGAGTAGAGGCTAGGACAGTTTTGAAGAGAGTGCTAAAGAAAGCCTGCATTGCCATGAGCACGACATTCTGAGCAATTCCGGTGAGAGCTCAGAAGAGGAGAACTGTAGCAAAAATCTGAAACTTCTTAGAAATTACTTAAGTGATTGTTATCAGAACATTGGTGGAAATATAAACAGTAAAGACCATTCTGATGAGGTCTCAAATGGAATGATGAATATCTTTTTGGAAACTGAGGGAAAGACCATCCTTGTTGTAAAGTGACAAGAAACGTAGCTGAATTGCGTCCATGCCTGGGGGCCTGATCGAACGCAGATTTTAAGAGTGATGAACTAGGATATCTGGTGGAAGAAATCTTTAAGCAGAAACTCATTTAGAGTGCTGAGTGGCTTCTCTTCACTGCATATATTAAAATGTAGAACAGAGAAAAATAATTTAAAGATGGAATTTATAATTAAAAGGGAAGCAGAATGTAAGGATTTGGAAAATCCCCAGTGATTTGGTTTGGCTCTGTGTCCCCACCCAAATCTCATGTCAAATTCTAATCCCCACATGTCAGGGGAGGGATCTGGTGGGAGGTTATTGGATCATGGGGGTGGATTTCCCCTGTGCTGTTCTTGTGAAAGTGAGTGAGTTCTCACCAGATCTGATGGTTTAAAAGTGTGGCACTCCTCATCCTCCGACGCTGCCTTGTCTCCTGCTGCCATGTAAAACATGTCTTGCTTCCCCTAAGCCTTCCACTGTGGTTGTAAGTTTCCTGAGGCCTCCCCAGCCATGTGAAACTATGAGTCAATTAAACTACTTTTCTTTATAAATTACCTAGTCTTCGGTATTTCTTTATAGCACTATGACAATGGACTGATACACCCACCTAGCCATGAAAAGCATGAGAAAGCATGTATTTAGGAGAGAAAATCAAGGTTTGACTAAGTGAATGTTTGATAAGGAGATTAGTATGGACTGAGGGAAGCCAGGTGCTATTCATCAAGACAATGGGAGAATTAGCTTTTCCAATTCAATTTAAAAAGACAATGGCTGAGCAACATTGAAGGTATTGCAGAGATCTTAGAGGTTATGCTTCCCAGCAGAGGCCCAGAATGCTGCATCCTTGAAGGCAGAAAAGTTGAGAGGAGAGAGAGAGAGAGAACCAGGGCACCTGCATGACCACAATATTTGTTCCCATGCACACCTCAAGTGTTTGTTCCCCACGTTCCAGCACAGAACTCTTTGGCTGCACCAGTTGTGGCTCAAAGTGGCCCAGGTGTGGCTCTAGCTGCTTCTCCAAAAGATGCAAGTGATGAGACTTGGTGGTGTTCACATGATGCTAATTCTGCAAGCACAGAGAGTGCATAAGCTGTGGAGACATGGCTGCCTCTACCCATATTTCAAAGGATATTGTAGAGACATGCTGCAACTATAGAGCTGCCACAAAGCATTCTCACTAGGGCAATGCCTAATGAGACCATGAAGGTGGGAGGGTCAGTGCAAACAGCCTCCACTTGGGTAATGCCCAGCAGAACTGTGGGGTTGGGATCACCAGAGAATCTCCACTAGGGTAATACCTAGTAGGGCTGTTGGGTGGGACTGCCCCAGAGACACCAGAACTATAGAACGGCCAGTGTGCCACACCAGACTGGAAGAGCTTCAGGCATGAAACCCCAGACATAAGAGCTACTATGTGGACTGAGCCAGCAAGCCATAGAGGTGTGGCTGTCTGAGGCCTTGGGGTCCCAACTTCTACCCCAGTGTGTCCAGGAGGCAAGACCTGGAATCAACAAAGGTTTACTCTGGAGCCTTAAGGTTTGACGTTGTTCATTCTGTTGGGCTTTGTACTTATTTGGGACCAGTTACCCTTTTTTCTTACCTGTTTCTTTCTTTTGGAACAAGAAAGTCTATCCTAAGCCTCTCCCACCATTGTATTTTGGAAATGAATAACTTGTTTGATTTCATAGACTCACAGTTGGAGGGGAATTTTCCTCAGAGTGAATTGTACTTTGAGTCTCATTCATATCTCATTGAGTTGAGACTTTGAATTTGGATTAGTCCATTTTCATGCTGCTGATAAACACATACCTGAGACTGGGTAATTTATAAAGGAAAAGAAGTTTAATAAACTCACAGTTCCATGTGGCTGGGAGGTCTCACAATCATGGCAGAAAGGGGAATGGCATGTCTTATATGGAAGCAGGCAAGAGAGAATGAGAGCCAAGCAAGAGGCAAAAACCCTTATAAAACTACCAGTTCTTGTGAAACTTACTCACTACCATGAGAATAGTATGGGGGAACCACTCCTATGATTCAATCTCAGGTTTGGAAACCCCTGGATGTCTAGGCAGAAGAACTGAAGTTCCTAAACCTCAATTGTTGACTTCTCTGCGCCTGCAGGTCCAACACCACATAGAAGCTGCCAGGGTTTGGGGCTTGCACCCTCTGAAGCCATGGTCTGAGCTGTACCTTGGCCCCTTTTAGCCATGGCTGGAGCAGCTGGGACACATGCCACCTAGTCCCTAGGCTGCATACAGAAGCAGAGGCCTGGGCCCGCCCCACAAAACCATATTTTTCCTCCTGGGCCTCTGGGCCTGTGATGGGAGGGGCTGCCGGGAAGGTCTCTGACATGCCCTGGAGACATTTTCCCCATTGTCTTGGTGATTAATATTTGGCTCCTTGTTACTTATGCAAATTTCTGCAGCAGATTTGAATTTCTCTCCAGAAAATGGGTTTTTCTTTTCTCTTGCATTGTCAGCCTGCAAATTTTCCAAGCTTTTATGCCCTGCTTCCTCTTGAACACTTTGCTGCTTAGAAATTTCTTCCATCAGATACCCTAAACTATCTCTCTCAAGTCCCACAGATCTCTAGGGCAGGGGCAAAATGCCACAAGTCTCCAGTTCCCAACCAGTTCATCATCTCCATCTGAGACCACCTCAGACTGGACCTTATTGTCCATATCACTATCAGCATTTTGGTCAAAGCCATTCAACAGATCTCTAGAAACTTCCAAACTTTCCCACATGTTCCTATCTTCTTCTGAGCCCTCCAAACTATTCCAACCTCTGCCTGTTACCCAGTTCCAAAGTCACTTCCACATTTTTGGGTGTCTTTACAACAGCGCTCCACTCTACCATTACCCGTTTACTGTATTAGTCAGTTTTCATGCTGCTGATAAAGACCTACCCAAGACAGGGTAATTTATAAAGAAAAAGAGGTTTAATTGACTCACATTCCATGTGGCTGGGGGGCCTAACAATCATTGCAGCAGGCAAAATGTACGTCTTACATGGAGGCAGGCAAGAGAGAATGAGAGCCAAGCAAAAGGGGAGACCCCTTATAAAACCATCAGTTCTCATGAGATTTATTCACTACCATGATAACAGTAGAGGGGAACCACCCCCATGATTCAATTATTTCCCACAGGGTCCCTTCTACAAAATGTGGGAATTATGGGAACTACAATTCAAGATGAGATTTGGGTGAGGACACAGCCAAACCATATCAGGACCTAAACTTTTGAGTTAATACTGGAATGAGTTAAAACTTTCAGGTTTATGGAGATGGAATTAGGGTATTTTGTATGTAAGAAGGATAGGAATTTGTGGCAACTTGGGGTTAAATAGTCTGGTTTGAATGTTTGTCCCCACCAAAACTCATGTTGAAACTTAATTACCATTATAATAGTTTTAAGAAGTGGACCATTTTAAGAGGTGATTAGGCTATGAGGGCTCCATCCTCATGAGTAAAATTATGCCATTATAAAAGGGCAGGCTCAGCCTGCTCTTTTACTTTCTCTTTGCCCTTCCACCTTTTGCCATGTTATGACTCAGCAAGAAAGCTCTCATAAAAGGCTGGCACCATAATGTTGGACTTTTCTGTCTCCAGAATTGTGAGCTAATAAATTTCTGTTCATTATAAATTACCCAGTCTATAGTATTCTCTTACAGCAACCAAAAACAGACTACTACAATAGTATTCTTAGTTTGACTTCTTCAAATTTGCAATTTTTTTTTATTTTCTATTTTTCCATAAGTTATTGGGGTACAGGTGGAATTTGGTTACATAAGTAAGCTCTTTGGTGGTGATTTGTGAGATTTTGGTGCATCCATCGCCCAACCAGTATACACTGCACCATATTTGTAGTCTTTTATCCCTTGCCACCCTCCCCCTCTTCCCCCCATGTCCCCAAAATCTATTCTATCATTCTTATGCCTTTGTGTCCTCATAGCTTAGCTCCCACATATCAGTGAGGACATACCATGTTTGGTTTTCCATTCCTGACTTACTTCACTTAGAACAATAGTCTCCATTCTCATCCAGGTCACTGCAAATGCTGCTAATTCATTCCTTTTTATGGCTGCATAGTATTCTATCATATGTATATATAAAACACAGTTTCTCTATCCACTTGTTGATTCATGGGCATTTGGGTTGGTTCCATGATTCCATGATTTCACTATGTTGAATTGTGCCACTATAAACATGCATGTGCAAATATCTTTTTCAAATAATGACTTCTTTTCCTCTGAGTAAATACCCAGTAGTGGGATTGCTGGATCAAATAATAGTTCTACTTTTAGTTCTTTAAGGAATTTCCACACTGTTTTCCATAGTGGCTGAACTAGTTTACATTCCCACCAGCACTGTAGAAGTGTTCCCTGTTCACTGCATCCATGCCAACATCCACTGTTTTTATGATTTTTTTATTATGGCCATTCTTGCGGGGATAAAGTGGTATTGCATTGTGGCTTTGATTTGCATTTCCCTGATGATTAGTGATGTTGAGCATTTTTTCATATGTTTGTTGGCCATTTGTATATCTTCTTTTGAGAATTGTCTATTCATGTCCTTAACCCACTTTTTGATGGGATTGTTTTTTCCTTACTGATTTGTTTGAGTTTGTTGTAGATTCTGGATGTTAGTCCTTTGTCAGAGGTATAGACTGTGATGATTTTCTCCCACTCTGTGGGTTGTCTCTTTACTCTGCTGACTGTTCCTTTTGCCATGCAAAAGCTCTTTAGTTTAATTAAGTCCCAGCTATTTATCTTTGTTTTTATTGCATTCACTTTTGGGTTCTTGGTCATGAAATCTTTGCCTAAGCCATTGCAAAAGGGTTTTCCAATGTTATCTTCTAGAATGTTTATAGTTTCATGTCTCAGGATTAAGTCCTTAATCAATCTTGAGTTGATTTTTGTATAAGGTGAGAGATGAGAATCCAGTTTCATCCTCCTACATGTGGCTAGCCAATTACCCCAGCACTGTTTGCTGAAAAGAGTGTCCTTTATCCACTTTATATTTTTGTTTCCTTTGTTGAAGATCAAATGGCTGTGAGTATTTGGGTTTATTTCCGGGTTCTGTATTCTCTTCCATTGGCCTATGTGCCAGTTTTTATACCAGTACCACAATGTTTTGGTGACTATGGCTTTATAGTATAGTTTGAAATCAGGTAGTGTGATGCCTCCAGATTTGTTCTTTTTGCTTAGTCTTGCTTTGACTATGCAGGCTCTTTTTTGGTTTCATATGAATTTTAAAATTGTTTTTTTCTAATTCCATGAAGAATGTTGGCGGTATTTTGATGGTGATTGCATTGAATTTGTAGATTGCTTTTGGGAGTATAGTCATTTTCACAATATTGTATCTACCCATCCATGAGCATGGGGTGTGTTTCCATTTGCTTGTGTGGTCTATCATTGCTTTCAGCAGTGTTTTGTAGTTTCTCTTGAAGAGGTCTTTCAACTCCTTGGTTAGTATGTTCCTAAGTTTTTTCTTGTTTTCTTTTTTTTTTTTTTTTTTTTTTGCAGCTATTGTAAAAGTTGTTGAGTTCTTGATTTGGTTCTCTGCCTGGTCGCTGTTGGTGTATAGAAGAGCTACTGATTTGTGTACATTAATCTTGTATCCAGAAACTTTGGTGAATTCTTTTTTCAGTTCTAGGAGCTTTCTGGAGGAGTACTTAGTGTTTTCAAGGTAAATAATCATTTTGTCAGCAAACAGTGACAGTTTGATTTCCTCTGTACTGATTTGGATGTCCTTCATTTCTTTCTCTTGTCTGACTGCTCTGGCAAGGACTTCCAGTACTATGTGGAAGAGGAGTGATGAGAGTGGGCATCCTTATCTTGTTCCAGTTCTCAGAGGGAATGCTTTTAACTTTTCCCTATTCAGTATTATGTTGGCTGTGGGTTTGTCATAGATGATTTTTATTGCATTAACGTATGTTCCTTGTATGCTGATTTTGCTGAGAGTCTTACTCATAAGGTGATGCTGAATTTTGTCAAATGCTTTTCATGCACCTATAGAGATGATCGTGTGATTTTTGTTTTTAATTCTCTTTATATGTGGTGTATCACATTTATTGACTTGCCTATGTTAAACCATCCCTGCATCTCTTGTATGAAACCCACTTGACCATGGCAGATTATCTTTTTGATAAGTTGTTGGATTCAGTTAGCTAGTATTTTGTTAAGGAATTTAGCATCAATTTTCATCAAGGATATTGGTCTGTCATTTTCTTTTTTGTTTATGTCCTTTCCTGGTTTTGGTATTAGGGTGATGCTAGCTTCATAAAATGAATTAGGTAGGGTTCCTTCTTTCTCTATCTTGTGTAATAGTGTCAAAAGTATTGGTATCAATTCTTCTTTGAATGTCTGGTAGAATTCTGCTGTGAATTTGTCTCATCCTGGACTTTCATTTGTTGGTAATTTTTTTAATTACCATTTCAATCTTACTGCGAGTTATTGGTCTGTTCAGGGTATCTAATTCTTCCTGATTTAAGGTAGAAGGGTTATATTTTTGAGATCCATCCATATTGCTTCATGTATTAATATATTGCTATTTTTTCATTACTGAGTAGCACTCAGATCTTGTTGATGAACGTCTTGAATTTTGGGGGGTCAATATGAATATGGCCATCATCATCAGCATTAGTGTGGGCATGTGCTTTCATGCGTCTTGGTGAAATAACTTGAAGCAAAATTTAGGTTAAAACATGGATGATAAAGGCAATTGTGATGATGTCTCAGAGACAAACGAGAAACATGTTATTGAACAATGGAGGAAAGGTCATATTTGTTTCAAAGTGGCAAACAACTTGGCTTAATTGAGTTTATTCCCTGGTGTTTTGTGTAAAGCAGAACTTGTGAGTGATGAAATTGGATATTTGTATGAGGAAATAGCTAAGCAAAGTGTCAAGATGTGGTCTGGTTTCCCTTGATTGCTCATAGTAAGATGTGAGAAGACAGAAATCACTTAAAAATGGAATTTTTAATCAAAAGGATGCAGAACTTGAAGATGTGGAAAATTCTTAGCCTATCCATATTGTAAAGAATAAGAAAGTGTGTTCAGTGGAAAAGACCAAGAGTGTGACCAAATGACTATCTCATAATAAGATTAGTTAACCATCTAAGTAGAAGCCAGGATTCATTTTCTATGAGAATAGAAAAAATGCCTCTGAAGGTAATTCAGAAATCAGAAGGACTGTGCTTCTTATTACAAACCCAGAGTGATAAAACCTCAGTCAGCATGGAGCCATTGCAGAGACCCCCAGTTAAGGCACTATCCAACAAAATCATGGAAACATAACTACCTTTGTGACTCATACTGGCAGGGACATGGCATGTGATTCCAGCCCAAGGGAGACACAATCACATGACCCAGGCATAGAACTGCTGCAGGGGCAGGGGTAACCAGAGACGTGTAGACAGAGCCACCACCACAGTGTGTCCAGAAAGTGAAACACCCTCAAATTCATAGGGAATTGCAAGTGTTTTCAAATGGCCAAAACAATCTTGAAAATGAGTAAAATTAAAGGATTTAATATTTCTCAATTTCAAAACTTAATACAAAACTGCTGTAATCAAAAGTACATGGTAAGTATAGAAATACAGATCAATGGAATAGAATTGAGATTCCAAAAAATTAACATATACATCTATGGCCAATTGGTTTATAATAAGGGTGTCAAGACCATTCAATTGGGAAAGAATATTCTCTTCCGCGTAAGGTGCTGGGACCACTGGATATCTACATCCAAAAGAATGAAGTTGGACCCTTTTTTTACACTCTGTACAAACTTAACTCAAAATGGGTTAATTATCTAAATATTAAAGCAAAAACTATACAATTCTTACATGAAAATATAGGAGTTAATCTTCATGGTTGTGGATTAGGCCATGGATTGTTAGATATTACACCAAAACCACAAGTAACAAAAAGATATAGATATACATATATAGGTATATATATCTACATATATAGGTATATATATATAGGTGTATATATATATGTAGATGTATATATCTATATATATGTATATCTATATCTTTTGTTATAGAGTATATAGGTGCATATATATAGATATATATGTAGATATATCCATATATATGTATATCTATATCTTTTGTTACAGAATTGTGGTTTTGCACACATATATGTGTGCATATGTGTGTGTGTGTGTGTGTGTGTGTGTATATATATATATATATATATATATATATATATATATATATACTGCAGATTAGTTGTTTCTATGGCCTGAGGTTAGGGAGGAGTTGGGAGTGACTGCTTAATAGATATAAGGTTTTATTTTTGAGCTAGATGAAAGTAGTGGTTGCATCACATTATGAATGTACTAAATGCCACTGAGATATACATTGTTAAATGATTAATTTTATGTTATCGGAATTCATCTCTTTAAAAAATTATGGTTCATGGTAGGATAAGAAATGAGATAGACAATTTGATATAAAAGTTAGTTTCAGCTGGGCATATAATTTTTTAATAGATGTTTTTAAAACACAATGTGCCCTTTATTACTGTTTTCTTCATTTCTGAAAACAATGGATTAATAACTCATTAGAATACTACCTTTTATAAAATAAATACTTACATAGGCCAATCTTGGAAAGAGAAAAAAAAAAAACTTGACACTGAAGAAAGTTAGGCCAGCATCCATAGTCTCAGAATGCATGTCTACTCCAATGTCAGACTGTTCCTGGCAGCACAACAGTCCAGGTTTGCTTCTGCAGACCTAGGACATAGGTCTGTTCCTACAATCCCAGTACCTAGGCCTTCACTAGTGGATCCAGTTTCCAGGCCCATAATTGCAGACCCAGGCACTAGGGAAGGTCCTGTAGTACCAGGCACCATGGCCACCCAACTTCTGACCTAGACACCAGGCCGTCCAGCCCAAACACTTTCTAGCAGCAATCTCACCTCATGGACCCCACGAGCTGGCCCACCAAAATTTTTAAACAGGCTGATGGGTGAAGGCCTTTCCAAGTCAAAGCCAGTGTGCAAAGATTAGAAGAGGTGCCTACATCTTTGAATGCACAGATACTAATGCAAGATGAAAAGAATCACAGTCAGGAAAACATGAAACCTCCTAAGGAACAACATAATGCACCAATGACCAACTCTAAACCAATGGATATCTATGAACTGACTGAAAAGTACTCAAAATAATCATTGTAAGTAGTGCAGTGAGCTTCAAGAGAGCAAAGATGAACAATTAAATGAAATCAGGAAAACAATAAATGAACAAAATTAGAAGTTGGACAAACAGATAGACATCATTAAAGAAAGAACCAAACAGAAATTATGGCACAAAGAACACAATGACTGAACTAAACATTTCCATAGAGAACTTTAACAGGAGATTCAATCAAGCAGAAGAAAGAATCAGTGAGCTTAAAGATGGAGAGGTCATCTGAAATTACCCAATCAAAGGAATGGAAAGGAAAAAGAGTAAAAAAGAGTAAAAAGTTGTTTATAGGACTTTGAGAGATCATTAAGTAAACCAATATACACATTATGAGAATCCTAAGAGGAGAAGGGAAAGAGAAAAAGGGAAAAAACTTATTTAAAAACATAATTACTAAACTTCCTAAATCTGGAGAGGAAAATGAACATCTAGAATGATGAATCCCAAAGAGTACCAAAGAAATCTTTCCAAAGACATATTATAATCAAATTCTCAAAAGTCAAAGATAAAGAGAAAATTTTGAAAGCAGCAAGAGAAAAGTGGCTTATCACGTACAGAGAAACTTCTAAAATATTATCAGTGGATTTCTAAGAAGAAACTTTGCAGGCCAGGGGAGAGTGGAATAATATATTTAAAGTTCTAAAAGAAAAAAAAAATCTAACAACCAAGAATACTATGCAGAGAGACTTTCCTTCAAAAAATGGAGGAGAGATAAAGACATTTCCAAACAAAAACTGAGGGAGTTCATCAACACTATACCTGCATTGCAAGAAATACTCAAGGGAGTTCTTCAAGCTGAAACAAAAAAACACTAATTAGTAATATGAAGACATATGTAAATATAAAACTCACTGGTCAAAATAAGTACATTGTCAAAATTAGAATATTCTAATACTGTAATGAAGTTTTGTAAATAAGTTTTAACTCTAGTATAAAAGTTAAAAGACTAACATAAAGGTATTAAAAATAATTATAGTAGCTTGTTAATGGATACACATTATATAAATATATAAACTGTGACATCAAAAACATAAAATATGAGAGGAGAAGAAATTAAAGCTTAGAGATTTTATTCATGGTGAAAGGTTGTCAACTTAAAATAGAATATTATGAATATAAGTTATTTTATGTTAGCCTCCTGGTAACTACAAAGAAAAAAAACTGTAGTAGGTACACAAACGATAAAGAGAATGAAACTAAATTCTACCTCTACAAAAAAAATTACCAAATTACAAAGGAAGACAGCAAGAGAGGACGAAAGAAACAAAGGAACTGAAAAACAGTAAGAAAACAATCAACAGCCGGGTGCAGTGGCTCACGCCTATAATCACAGCGCTTGGGAGGCCAAGGTGGGTGGATCACCTGAGGTCAGGAATTCAAGACCAGGCTGGCCAACATTGCAAAACCCCCTCTCTACTAAAAATACAAAAATTAGCCTGGCTTGGCAGTACGCGCCTGTAATCCCAGCTACTTGGGAGGCTGAGGCAGGAGAATCGCTGGAACCCGGGAGGTGGAGGTTGCAGTGAGCCAAGATTGAGGCACTGCACTCTGGTCTGGGCATCAGAGTGAGACTCTGTCTAAAAAAAAAAGAAAGAAAAGAAAAGAAAAAAGAAAATAACAAAACGAAAGCCATAAATTCTCACCTATTAATAAGTGCTTTAAATGTAAATGTGCTAAATTCTCCAATAAAAAAACATGAAGTGGCTGGATAGATAAAAACCATGATCCAACAATATGCTCCCTATGAATCACTTTAGCTTAAAGGATAAACACAGGCTGAAAATGAAGGCGTTATAAAAGCTATTTCATGCAAATGGTAACCAAAAGAGAGCATGGGTGGCTATACTTACAGCAGACAAAATAGACTTTAAGTCAAAAACTATCCAAAAAGTCAAAAAATATGATTATATCAGGGTCAATTCATCAAGAAGGTATAACAATTTAAGGTACATATGTACCCAACATCAAAGCACTTTATATATATATGCTTATATATATTTTTATATATATATAGTAACTATAATATATATAGTAAATGTAAATGTTAGCAGAACTGAAGGGAGAAATATACAGCAAGGTAATAATAGTAGTGGAACACAGTACTCCACTTTTTACAATGTGTAGGTTACCCAGACAGAAAACAGCAGACATAAAAAACACTATAGATCAAATAGACCTAACAGATATATATAGAACATTCCATCCAACAGCAGCAGAATGTGCATTTTTTTTCAAGCCCACATGGAACATTCTCCAGGATAAATCACATGTTAGGCTGCAAAACAAGTCTCAGCAAATTTTAAAAGATTAAAATTATACCAAAAATCTTTTCTGACCACAACGGTATAAAACTAGAAATCAGTGACAGGAGGAAAATTGGAAAATTGACAAATATGTAGAAAATAAACAACCCACATCTGAAAAACCAATGGGTCAAAACAGAAATCAAAGAAAATTTAAAAATATCATGTTGAGACAAATGAAAAAGGAAACACTACATGACAAAACTTATGGGACACAAGAGTTCTAGGGGAAAGTTTTTAAAAATGCCTCCATTAAGAAAAAAAGAAAACTCAAATAAACAACCTATCTTTACACCCAAAGGAACAAGAGAAAAAAAAGAAGAAAATAGGCCCAAGTTTAGCAGAAGGAAAGCAATAATAGAAATGAGAGCTGAAATAAATATAATAGAGACAACAATAAAAAAGACCCATAAAATTAAGATTTAAATTTTTGAAAAGATCAACAAAATTGACAACACTTTAGCTACACTAATAAAAAAGGGAAAATATTCAAGTAAATTAAATTATAAATGAAAGAGAAGATGTTATAGGAATATAGACAACTGATGTTATAGGAATATAAGGGATCATGAGAGACTACTATGAAAATCAATAGTTCAACAGATTTGAAAAACTAGAAAAATAGATAAATTCTTAGAAACATACAATCTACCAAGTCTGAATTATGAAGAAACATAAAATCCGAACAGACCAATAATGAGTAAGAAGATTGAGTCGTTAATCATTTTTCTTTTTTTCTTTTTTTTCAAAAAGCCCAAGACCTGATGCCTTCACTGGTAAACTCTATCAAACATTTAAAGAATTAATTCCATTCTATATTAAATTCTTTCAAAAACTTAAAAAGTGGGAAATATATCCAAGCTTATTTTATGAGGCAAGCATTATCCTGATACCAAAGCCAGACAGAGATCCTAAAAGAAAAGAATATCATGGGTACAAAAATCTTAGATACAAAAATATTCAAAAAATACTAGCAAACTGAATTCAACAGCTTATTAAAAGGATTATAAACCATCGTCAAGAAGGATTTATTCCTGAGATCTAAGGATGCTTCAAAATATGCAAATCAATAAATGTGATACACCTCGTTAACAGAATGTAGGATAAAATACAAACGATTATCTCAATAGATGCAGAAAAAGCATTTGACATCCTTTCATGATTACAAAGTTCTCAACAAACTGCATATAGAAGAAATCTACCTCAACACAATAAACGCCATATTGGACAAGCCCACAGTTAACATCATACTCGTTGGTGAAAAGCTGAAAATGTTTTCTGCAAGATCTGGGAACAGGAAAAAGATATATACTTTCACCACTTTTAATTAAAATAGTACTGGAAGTCCTAGCCAGAGCGAGGTAAGAGAAAAATATAAAGGGCATCCACATCAGAAATGAAGAAGTAAAATAGTTTTTGCATACAGATGACATGATCTTATATATGAAAACCTTAGATACCTACCAAATACTGTTAGAACTAATAAACCTATTTAGTAAAGTTACAGGGTACAAAATTAACACACCAAAACCAATTGCTATACAGCAGCAATTATTTAAAAAATAAAGAAAACAATTCCATTTAAAAAAGCATCCAAAAAAACTCACTTAGGAATAAATTTAGCCAAGAAGGTAAAATATCTACACACTGAAAATTATAAAACATTAATGAAATAAATTGAAGAAGACACAGATAAATGGAAAGATAGCCTATGTTCACAGATCAAAAGAATTAATATTTTTAAAATGTTCACTACCCAAAGCAATTTACAGATTCAATGTAATCTCTATCAAGATTCCAATAGCATTTTTCAAAAAAACTTTTTAAAAAATTCTAAAATTCATATGGAACCAGAAAAGACACAGAATCACCAAAGTCATCTTCGGCAAAAAGAGCAAAGTTGGAGGTATCACATAACCTGATTTCAATATATAATATAAAGCTATAGTATTTAAAATAGTATGATACCAGCATGAACAGACATACAGAACAATGGAACAGACTAGAGAACTCAAAAATAAGCACATGCTTTTGTGGTCCACTGATCATTGGCAAAAATACCAATAACACACATGGGGAAAGGATTATCTCAATAAACTGTGGTGGGCAAATGAGTGTTGGGAAAGCTTAAAAGAATGAAATCGAACTCTTATTTCATACCATACACAAAAATCAACTCAAAATAGATTTAAGACTTAAATATAAGATCTTTAGCTGCAAAACTACTAGAAGAAAACTTTTGAAAAAAGCTTCTTAATATTGGTCTGGGCAATGATTTTTTTTTCTTTTTTTTATTTTTATACTTTAAGTTCTAGGGTACATGGATGAAGCTGGAAACCATCATTCTCAGCAAACTATCGCAATGGGCAATGATTTTTTTTTTTGGATTAGATCTCCAAAGCATTGGCAACAAAGCAAAACTGGACAAATGAGAAGCTTCTGCACTACAAAGGAAACAATCAGTAGAGTGAAGGGAATGGGTAAAATATGTATAAACTATACATCTCACAAGGGTTTAATATCCAAAATATAGAAGGGACTCAGCTCAATAACAAGGAAACAAAGAACTCAATTAAAAAACAGGCATAGGACATGAATATAAATTGTCTAAAAGAAGACATACAAATGGGCGGAAAGTATGACAAAGTGCTCAATGTCACTAATCACCAGGGAGGTGTGTGCAAATCAAAACCACAGTGAGATATCACCTGATATCTGCTAGGATGGCTATTATCTAAAAGACAAATAGTACCAAGTCTTGGTGAGGATGTAAAGAAAAGGGAACATTTGTACACCATTCATGGGAATGTAAAATAGTACAGTCATTATAAAAAACAGTCTGGACATTCCTCAGAAAAATAAAAATAGAATTACCATATGATCCAGCAACCCCACTTCTGGGCAAATATTCAAATGAAGTGATATCAGTATCTTGAAGAGATATCCTCTCTGTTATGTTGGTTGCAGTATTACTCACAATATTCAAGTTATGGAATCAACCTAAGTGTTCATTGTCAGATAAACGGATGAAAGAAATGTGCTGTATATATACATATATAAAATGGAATACTGTTCAGCCTTAAAACAGAAGGAAAATTCTGTCATTTGCAACAACATGAATGAACCTGGAGGACATGATGCCAAATGAATCAAACCAGGTACAAAAAGACAAACACTGCATATATGACTTATGTAAGGAATCTAAAAAAGTCATACTTGGGCCGGGCATGGTGGCTCACGCTTGTAATCCCAGCACTTTGGGAGGCCGAGGCGGGCGGATCACGAGGTCAGAAGATCGAGACCATCCTGGCTAACGTGGTGAAACTCCATCTCTACTAAAAACACAAAAAATTAGCTGGACTTGCTGGTGCACACCTGTAGTCCCAGCTACTCGGGAGGCTGAGGCAGGAGAATGGCGTGAACCTGGAAGGCAGAGCTTGCAGTGAGCCGAGATCACGCCACTGCACTCCAGCGTGGGTGACAGAGCAACACTCTGTCTCAAAAACAAAACAAAACAAAACAAAAAAAGTCAAACTTGTAGAAACAGGGTAGAATGGTAGTTACAGATGGGTAAGAAGTAGGATAATAGTGAGATGTTGGTCAAAGTATCCAAACTTTCAGTTACAAGATGAGTAAGTTCTGAGGATCTAATATACAGCATGGTGACTACAGTTAATAATATTGTATTGAATACTTCAAATTTCCTGAGAGGATAGATCTTAAATGTTATTACCACACACACACACACAAAGGCAACTATGTGAGATGATAAATACGCTTATTAGTTTGACAGTCGTAATCATTTCACAATATATACATATCAAAACATCACGTTGCTCACCATAAATATATACAATTTTTATTTGACAATTATATCTCAAAAAAGCTGGGGAAAAGATAATAAACAAAATTATTTTAGGAAGTGAGAAGATATCATTATATATCACAGAAATATATTATTCAATTTAATTATCAAACATTTGATTTCATATACAAGGATCTCTCATTTTGTAAAATATTAAGAATATTTCTCATTATTTTTCAGAAAAAAGTCATTGTAATGTGAAAAACATATATATTTAGAATCAGACAAGGTAGGAACGTGTATCCTACTTTGATCCAAAGATAGTAGATCCAAAGTAGGAAAAAGTTCCTTGTAGGTTTCATCAGTGTTTTTTTATTTGGAAGAAAGTGGTCTAATTACACACCCTCTCCAAATATTTTCAAGTCTCTTATCATTTTAAAATATATTAGAATAATGAGGCCAGCCCAACTATATTTTATCCAACACACTAATCTGGAATCTTATTATTTAGGGAGCCATGAGGCCCAGTGAAAGAAGGCACTACCTACATTTTCAAGAGAGGAAAAAAGAAAGTGAGAAGTAATTCAATTAAAGCTAATATAATTTTTTTTTTTACAAATGTCATACAATATACCTGACATATACCTGACAAGTTCATGGATATTCAACTTCAGAGATGACTGATATTTCAGTGTCAATTGAAGTTAACAGGACTAGCTTCTCTTCATTTCCCTTGATTCTGCTTTCTTGCATGTAGTGACTATTAATTGCACCAGCCTACACCTATGCTCATTACCAGAAGAAAAACACTGTCACTCCCATTCAAGTCCAGAATTCTGGAGGCTGTAAAGGCAAGGAAATAAATCCCCAGATCCTCCAGAAAAGAACACAGTCTACCACCATCTAAATTTTGGCCAAAGTCATGTGAATGTCTGACCCACAGAATGGTAAGATAATAATTTTTTTTTTATTTTATGCTTTAAAATCTATCACTTTAATCTTATGTTCTTTAAGTAAGTGGTAATTTGTTGTGGCAGCAAGAAAAAAAAGAAAGAAAAACCAACACAATAGTATTTTAGTCATTTATAGAGATATAAATTTGTATTGAAATTGGGAGTGGATGGGTAGGTATGAATGGGAGTACTACCAGTCTGGCCATTAATACAATAAACAGGGAGTCATGGGATAGTAACCCACAGCACTCCAGGTCCCTCCCAGCATTTGAATCCTTAGACTTTACTCATACAAGCTCCTTTCATTGATATTTTCCAAAAGATAATATCAAGAGAAAAAGAAATTAGTTTCAGGGAGAAATAGAAAGTTCAAGGTAAAAATGGTCACTGGTTACTAGCACAGAAAGAATCAACATAAACATCATTCATCCTAACGTGCTAGGGCATATCCAATGCCTTATCTCATTTAATATTTCCAAAAACATTCAAGAAGTTTGTATTATTCATACTTTTACTAGTAAATACAGAAACAGAGAAAGACTCTTTGACCAATGTTACAAGCTAGTAAAGATTAGAGTCAAGCTTCAAATCCAGATTTTTCTGAATTCAAAATTCTTGCCAGTTCTCCTCTACTAGAGCTGCCTTCCAGGGAAAGTAAAGTGATGAACTTGTGGCTACGTTTGATGTGATTATGCTTTTTACTCAGACATGCTCACACCAAACAAGAGGTTGGTATACATGGAGAGGCGGATCTTTTCTAGTGCTTTAGAAATCTCCTTTTTCTCCACTCACAAACCAATCAACTTCACATACCCTCAGCACCATGCTAAGTGCTAAAGACAGGCATCTGGGAGAAAAACAAGGCACATTTTTTTCTGTAAGAGACTTGAAAATATTTGGAGAGACAAGAAAGAGGGGAATTTGAAGAATGTAATTGAACACTAAATAATACTGTGCTATCGCCAACATGGTGGCACATGTATACATATGTAACAAACCTGCACGTTGTGCACATGTACCCTAGAACTTAAAATATTAAAAAAAATAAGATAAAAAGGAATCAGGACCGTGAAAAATAGTAATAATAATAATAATGTGCTATATGTTCCTAGAAGGAAGAAATTAGTGTGATCTGCCAGGCGCGGTGGCTCACGCTTGTAATCCCAGAGCTTTGGGAGGCCGAGGCAGGTGAATCACCTGAGGTCGGGAGTTCAAGACCAGCCTCACCAACATGGAGAAACCCCATCTCTACTAAAAATATATATATACACCAAATTACCTGGGTGTGGTGGTGCATGCCTGTGATTCCAGGTACTCGGGAGGCTAAGGTGGGAGAGTCACTTGAACCAGGGAGGCAGAGGTTGTGGTGAGCTGAGATCACACCATTGGACTCCAGCCTGGGAAACAAGAGTGAAACTCTATCTAAACAAAAAAAAGAAAAGAAAAGAAATTAGTGTGATCTGCGAGTAACAAGAAAGCCTGCACAGAGTGGGAAGGACTCGGGCAGACTCAAGGTGGGGCTGAATCCCTGTGGTGCCTTCAGACAGGTGTGGTGCACACTTGTCTGAGAGTCAGATGGATACCAAGAACTTGCGAAGTGCAGGAAGGCATTCCTTGCCCTCAGGGCACTCAAGACACTCACAAACATTGTGTATGAGTTTGTGACAAACCAGAATTCATCTTGGGATGTGATGTTTACATCAAAGAATTTACATAAAAATTGGGGAAGAGAGAGTATTATCAATCCTGACGTTGTAGGACAGGTTCATTAGACTCAATATTATGCCATGGTTTGTCCTTTGTTTTTTAATAAGTTCATGCCTGCAATAGTTCAAACTTTGGCAGTTTCATCGTGTTGTTCAAAAGGCACCGACTTGACAATATCTATGTAAGCTGAAGCCCAGAGGCAGGTACCCCCGGGGTTCTGATGACTGAGAAGTAGTGCTTATTGGCAGAAATGAAGGGAACTGGCTAACCTTTATGACATTCCAGTTTCACTTCCACATCCAGAGGGTAATCCTTTGATGGTATGAAATCGATTTTGAATTTGTTCATTTATAAATTCCTTTTTATAAACATTCAGAAATATCCTCATTGAATTTTACTCACCTAACTTTTATATATTGGATATATTCAGCATCCTAATCTGAGAGTAGTTAATTTAACATGAAGTGTATTTCAGAAAATTGGTCTCCTCCTGCCTGTGGCCCTTATAGACTTCTCCTGCCCATTTCTTGTTTGATGGGTTTGATTCTATTTTTTTTTCTAGGGGAACCAACCTTGTTTCTCTGTCAGTTGCCTCTCTTTTCTACACAGCATCAAATCTAACATCTTCTGCTTTCTCTCACTTGGGATAATTTCACTGAAATACAGCTCCAGCTCATGCTTATTTTTTTATTACCTTGAAAAACAAAAACAAAAACAGAAACCTGTTGCCCAAGAAGCTCAGCCTGCCCTCCTGAGCCAGCCTTCCCCACGCATTCAGACCCAGAATACAGGACATAAGAATGGAAGGTGCCAGTGACATGATGTATTCCCCGTGGGCAGCTATTCTACTTAATTTCTTTATCTAGAAAGACAAGTTTGCAGAAATTTTAGATCAGTCACAGCTAAAACAGTTTATAGGCAGCCAAAGCCAGAAGGGGTTAAGAACAATCTCTGAAGTCTGGTTGGGCAATGGTGCAGGAAAATAAAAAAATAAAAAAATAAAACTTACAAATGTTGAAGGTGTTTAAATTTGTTTAATACATGTCTTTTTCTTTAAGGTAACTGCTTTATATGTGGTTGATGTTTTGAAATTATGCCAATTGAAATGTAAAATAATCAGAATTTTCCTGCCCTATTCTTATTTGAATAAATCTTATTACACATTGCTTTTACCCATGACTAGGTTATTGCAGTGCCGAGTCAATATCATTCACATGATTTGGATTAAATTACAGCAGTGCAGGTCTCTTTTCTTTCTTTTCCTTCTCTCCTGAATATAAACTCACTATGATTTTTCTTTGGCTGGCATTTGCTCCTTTGACTTTCCCCCATATTCAAGAGATGGTGTATGCTCCAAACACATAACATTATCAACTTTAAGGGCTGCAATTGATTGAATATTTTGACAAATATACCTCTCTAATTCCTGAAGCCATATGGACGTGCAGGATGCCATATGGAATAAAGTACTCTGCCTCATGAAATGATCCAAAAGCATTTTTTTTATTAGCGGTTATTTCCTTGAACTGAAAACTGATTAAATTTTGAATATTCCATCACTGGGGATAGTAATCTAGCCAACTCTATATTCTTAGCAGCATCTCTGGTGATGGAAGTATACTGCTGAAGTGAAAGTCCTTGACAGGGGTTGCCACATTTTTTAAAATGTCAGGGGAAATGTTACTTCTATATTATTTGTATATCCATTAAGATGTTTGCTGCAGGAAGCAACAGAAAACCCTCAATTAGCTGTCTTAAAACTAGGAGGAAATGTGGTTATCTGGTATAACAGGAAGTCTCAGGCATGGCAGTGAAAGGGTTGGTGAAATCTGAGGTTCCAGAATGCCAAGAACCAGCATTCTGTCTGCCGTGTCTCTGTCCTCCCTGCCTGCCAGCTTCATTCTCCAGCTGGCTGCCCTCATGGTTGTGGGGCAGCTACAGCAACCTGGGTGGGACACACACATGTGGCAGTGTCCAGTGGAAGCTAATTCATCAGCTCCTGCTGGCAGTCTCTTTTATAAGAAGAAATTCTCAGAAATCATTCAACAGGAACACCCTCACAGCTCATTCTGTGTGTGTCACATGCCTGTTCGAACAGTTAGCATGTCCAAGGGAAGTGGGATTCCCATGACTGGCCTAATGTAGCATGTGGATGCAGAAGAAAGATGTTAGACCCCCCAATTAAGCTGGAGGTCTCTTAGAAAGGAAATTAGAAGCAAGAGCTCGATGAGGAGGCTTGTAACCAACAAAGTTTGCTACATGCCTATAATATTTCTTTGTACTTAAAAAATTGACTTGGCCATTCCACCTCCATGAGATCTGCTGAGTAATTTCTTTTATGTGGGAGAAGTAAGTGGAGTCGCCCCCAAAGACCATCAGGAAAATATTTCACTGAAGTCTGAGGCTGCCCAGCCACGGATATTTGTTGAAGTCTACCTTTCCAGTACTCCAAGGACTATTTCTTAGAGAAAATCTTACTGAAAATAAAGGACATGTAGGACTGGCTTTCTTCTTCATTGCTAAATGACTGTAGAAGTATTTTCAAACTACTAATCTCTAATCTGCAATTCTATTTCTATTTATAGAATGTAAGGCTTTTTGAATATCTTCTATGAAGTATTAACGAAGATGGAAAAGCAAAATTAAGAGCATCTAATCCATTAGCCATTCAGAACTGAAGCTTGTTTCAATAAAGTAGGTACAGGACATCCCATGCAGCTTAGAACATGAATGTCCTGGTTCATCTTGACCCCATTGAATCAGGACAGTGGTGTCTTGAGCAGAATCCAGATTTTTTTCTTAACATTTGCAAATAGTTTGGACTGGCTTATCTCACTGAGAGTCAATGAAAGACCTGTGATTTGGAATTCCTAATGTCTGTGCAAGTTCTTTCTCTGATTGGCTGAGTGAACTACAGCAACTTACTCTATCAGGAACTCAGAGTTATCCATCCGGTGGTGGTGGGTGAAAGTGGTATTCAGTGATTTCTAAAATTTCATTCAACTCTGACTCTGTGATTCTCAGTTGAGTTAAAATAAATTGAATCTCCAAAAAGGTCAGATGAAAGCAAATCATGGTGTCTGACCAAGTCTCAAAGCCATAGCTAATAATCATTGGTATTAAACATTTAACTATAGCTCCTAAGCAAATATTGGAATAGAAATCAAATTTTCAGTGGACTACACTTCACAATTAATAGATTACAACCTGGAATGGATTTCTCAAGCCCATCTTTTCTCAAACATTAAAAAGTTGTTGGTTTTTTATATCCAAAATCTGACTTTCTTACTATTGGCTACAAAGTATTCTCCGGTAGGAAGTCTAGGTTTTAGAGATAAATACACAAAACAAATAAGAAAAGGCATTAGAGTTTATCTTTCCTTGTCTAAGATGCCATTGAACTTCAACCTCTAAAATCTAAAGTAACAAAGAGCATTTTGTATAAGTATATGAGAAAAAAAGACAGTAATGTTTATAACCTACTTATGTCATCTGCTCTCAATTTCTCATTCACAATTCATTTGGATTCATCTTCATCCTATATATTGAAATTTTTTTAGCCCATTAACACTCTTTCTTTCAAAGGTCTATAAATGAACATAATTAAGGAATATATTTTTGTAAGCACTAGCTTCTGAAATATTCATTATTAACCTGCTGGCTACACTTGTCCTTTTTTGTATTTATATAATTAATTAAGTCTCTCTCTTCTAATCCATACATTTTCAAAAAAATTATTAATGCTATTCAGGTTTTGACTTGTCTATTTCTCCTTTCTGCAGTTAAAGGAAATAGTTTTTGTTAATCAGAATTTCTCTCACCTTTCCATTTTCTAGTAGAGTTGAAGCACTTGAGGATAGTGACAGTTGGACTATTTTTCTAGTTTGCTAGAAAAAGAAAAAATGACAATACATTTAGAAGAGCTTGGGGAGAGGAGTAGTTCTAAATATAAGTGTTCCATGATAACAACATATAAGATGCATGGTCCAGATGTCAGCTCTAGGATATTTATGGGGCAGGTTAGTGCCAGATCCAAGTAATTTAAATTGCTGCTCTTGTATAGCATTTGAATTCTGGCTGATGAGACCCATCCATTAGTTTTTCACAGATGACTTATGTAAGTAAGTCTTATACAATTCCCAGATTGTAATATTCTGTATTAGAAAACAAATTGGGTCAAGTCTAGTAATGAAGTCACATCTCACAAAGAGAATGAGCTAGGGTCATCCAGTGAGCTGCAACTATTTAGGATCAGGATCCTCACAACCTAGAAGACATCCTAAACTGTCTAGAGTTACCAAGAAAGAATCAAAAGTTTATTTTAACTGTTTTTAGTAACAAATTATCTGCCTTTGATATTTTCAACCAAATAAAATAAATATTTTTTAAATGAAAAAGAGGAAGTAGAAAACTTGACACCACTTTTTCAAAGTGTTCCCAGATCTCGAGTCTTCTGAAATGACTAAATTACAATGGAAAATCAATTTCATGCTGGTTTACTCTGCAAAAGGCCTTAACTGGATGGCTAAGAAAAATAAAAATTGGAAATGGTCATGGTGACACCAAAAGCTGCAGCTGATTTCCCTGTGTAGGAGTTTCCATATATATAAAAGTCAGTGAACTTTTACACAGATTTGCTGATTCTAATGAACTACTTTGACAGAATTAGGGCTGAGAGTGGTTGTCAGAGAGCAATCTGAGGCTACCCACTGAAAGTTGGGCCTCTTGTTTGAAATCTCAAAAACAATATCCATGCTGAGAAAGCAGCTTGACACTGTGCATCTATAGTGTGTCAAAGTACTTACAATTTTTAAAAAATTGTATATCTCTAAAAATGCCTGGATGAGGCTTATACTCTCTTTCTTTATTGCAGCCAAATGTTCCACCTGGGGAAGACAACTGAACAAAAAATAAAGGAGATAATATCAGCTATGTAAAGTGTTTTTTAAAAAGGAAAACAGATTGATGTGGTATAATGTATATGTGCTTGTTTGTTTCATTCTGGTGGTGGTGGATCAGCTCCAATTGCATGGCTGACCTTTGGACAAGGTGACAGGAGTGATGACACTTGAGCTGAGTCTTAAATGACAAAAATGAATAAGCAATTGGCATATCTGGACAAAGGGCTTTCCAAAAAAAGAGAACAGCTGGTATGAAGACCTAAAGACTAGGAAAAAAATGTTGATGTGTTCAAAGGCAGCAAGAAAACCAGCGTGGAGTGAAGGTTGAACTTGAGGGAGGTGTTGTAGGAGAAAGAAAGGATAAGTCCACGTCCAGGTCTGTGAGTTTGAAAGCTTTGCAAAAGAGTTTGATATAATTCTAAGAGCAGCAGTGAGCTGCAGGAAAGTATTAGGTAGGAGGATGGGTCATGTGTTCAAAAATAATTCTGAGTTTATTGGGGAAAATAACTTATAGAGGCACAAAAATAAGAAGGGATTGATTACAAGGCTATTGCCTATTACTGAGGGAAGAAATAATGGTGTGTTGGATTGGATGGTAGAGGCAGGACTGATCAGACATAGATTCAGGACATATCCCAAAGATATTTTTGAAAGGACTTGCTGATGAGTCGAATGTGGAGAAATGGGGGGAGCGGTAGGATCATGCATGATTTGGAGGCTTTGGCTTGAGTACTCTCTGGGGAGGTGGTAGGTTAGTTGCTATGGGGAAGGCTGAGCATGTTGAGGAGTGAGGAATCAGGAGCTCTCTTTTGTATATATAAGGTTTAAGATGCTAATTTGACATCAGAGTAAATATTTCAAGTAAGTAGTTGGATACATGACTCTGGAAATTTAGAAAGAATTTAGGGCTAGAATTTTAAGTTTCCAAGTTTTCAATATTTAGAAGGAATGCACACTCAAGGAGCTGCTGGAGATGACCTAGGACATGAAGGGTAATTGCACAACAAACTAAGAGCAGGAAGACAGCAAAGGAGACAAAGACAGACTGTCCTAGGCAAGAGGAAGGAAATCAGGTCACATGATAGTATAGCTAAGAGATGAAGTAGAGAGTGGTCAATGAAATAACAACAAACAAGTGATCAATGGGTGGCAATAGGGGTCACCAATGCCCATGATGAGAACAGTTTTAGTGGAATGGAGGGAAAAAAATTTGATGGAAATGAACTAAAGAGAGAATGTAAGGTAAGAAGATGGAGTGGACTACTATAGATCACTTTTGTAAGTTTTTGGTTTTATTATTTTATTGTTTTGTTTGTTTTAACTCAAAAAAGTATCCGAAATAAGGTTGTAGCTGGAGACAGGAAGTCTGGATTCAAGGGAGAGGTTTTGATTTTACTTTTAAAGACCAGACATTATGGTAGATATGTTTATATGCTGATGGGACATATTAATAATGCATAAGATGAGAAGATACTTGCTGGTTCCTTCCTTTCAAAGGAAGAAAATAAAACTAAGTGGCCTGGAGGTAAAAGGCACTGCAGTGGGTACTGGGTGCATTGCAAGATCAACCTGCAGCTGCATAGCTCTTCTGAGATGTCATTGCAAATGATGGAAACACTCTGGAGACTGAGGGTTCTGGAGTAAGAGATTTTAAGGTCAAGTTTAGAGATACATACAAGATGCACACAAGCCACAACACAATTTCGTCGACAAAGCAAAATTTTCTGGTTGAATTCGTCCATTAATTCCTTGATTTAATTCATTCATTCAACAAATATACATTAAGCACCTAGTATGGTCCATTTACTCTGTTAAATACTGAGGGTAAAATAATAAAACAGACATGGTTCCTGTTTTTTAAATACATTTCATTATATTGCTTAAATGTGGACCATGTCTTATGATACTCACACATACACACATGCACTAAAACTATATATATTTTATATATAAACACTAAAATTATTTATAAATGTATAAATATATATGTTATATATAAAACTACATGTATAGTTTTATATATAACTATATATAGTTTTATATATAAAACTAAAACTATATGTATTTTATATACATATATAAAACTATATATGTATATGGCATTATTTTGGATGAAATTCTGTAACAGCCTATGTGTCCTAAAATTTGAAAAATGTGGATTTGCTTTAAATGCTTAGATCTAGGACTAATTATCATAGGCACTCAACTCTAGATTGCTATAGGAATGATTTGGATAGCCCATGAAAATTGAAAAGTTTGTCAAACTCTTGACTCTTAATCTAAATAATAAGGGACCTCAGAGTAAATTCAAGATGGAAATATATAAATATATGTTTTCTGGGCTGTGAGGCCTCTTCTACCAAACATCCTTAATGGCGGAGGTAAGAAAGAGCTACACTATTCATTCATACACATTCACTCATTCCCGATCAGGGGAGATGTACCACCTAGGTTCGGCCTGACTTCAGGGAGGTCCACAGAGTGCAGACAATCTCACTGTGACCAAGAGTGAAACTGCATCTCCATGAGCAAAAGGGGTGAAGAGCCTGAGAGGCCAGTAAAAACTCTATGGAAACTGCGTATTGGAAGGGCTTTGAGGTGACCTGAGATGTTATTTCTGGTGGCAATTGGGAAACTTTGGGAACTTGAAATCACCCAAGGCCTCTCAGTATCTACGATGTGCCTATTGCAGATTCTTGATTTTCTGATGTTGCTTTCTCAGATGTAATTTTACGCTGAAAAAAAATAACTGCTGTCTCTTGTTCAAGTACCTATTCATAACCACATACATGGTTATGAAATGATTAAGCAACCTGTGCTGCTGGGGCCAAGGAAAGTGTGTGTAGTGGAACACAGGGTGAACTATGGGAAGTGATGGAGGAATAGAAGGGAGACTATTCAAAAGCCAACTTGCAACTGGAAGTTTTTGTTCTCTGACAAAAATAATCCTGTTTCCAAGGTCCTTCTGTACTCTTCTGTGTAGAGAAAGAAAGAAACATTTATAGTTGCTAATTTGAAACTTGCTGTAGCAGAGAGTTATGTTACTATAGTTTCCAAAATTATACGGGTACATGCAGAGGTTAACAGGAACAACAAGGTTAGAGTTGCAGAAATAACTACAGTCCACCAAAGTCTTTGCTGTTAGAATAACAGCAGTCATGGGCATGAAAACAAGAAGACATAAAGTGTAGTGAAATATCAGAGACAATCATCAGCACAGAAATGAAAGAATATCAGAAAGAAAGATCTGAGGATAGAGAAGAAAAAGAGACACAGCTCCTTTAGCAACTGTTCTCTAACTCTTTACCTAGCCTCTATCAGAGGATAAACAGTTAACACCAGAATTGCACGACATAATATCTGCAGAGTATTCATGATGACTAGTTCTTTCTGTATATGTCTATAGATATGTGTCATACTTTATCTTGTTATCTGTTAGTAAATTGTACTTGCTTTGCCATAATATGGGTCAGTTATTCTCAAATGTGCCTTTAAAAAATAAGACCTTGGCTAAAATCAACACTATTTTATTTTCTAAAATACTTTGTTTATCTGGTAATGAAGTTTACTTTCTTCTTAGATATACTTATTATTGAAATGCATTTATTGGCTGGGCGTGGTGGCTCAGGCCCGTAATCCCAGTACTTTGGGAGGCCCAGGCAGGAGGATCTCTTGAGCTCAGGAGTTTCAGAGCAGCCTGGGCAACATGGTGAAACCCCATTTCTACTAAAAGTACAAAAATTAGTCAGGTGTGGTGTCATGTGCCTGTAATCCCAGCTACTGAGGCCGGAGAATCGCTTTAACCCAGGAGGCGGAGGTTGCAGTGAGGCAAGACAGTGCCACTGCACTCCAGCCTGGCAACAGAGCAAGACTCCGTCTCAAAAAAAAAAAAAAAAAAGAAATGTATTTATTAAATGCCTAATTGGGGCACTCTTTGGACCCCTACCTACTGAAAACTAGTAATTTAAGAATATATTAAATTAATATAATTTACCATTTTTAAGTTTACCTCCTCACTAACTTTTCCACAATGTTTATAAGAGTTTTGAATATTACTCATTTTGTTCAATTAATTGATAGTTATAAAAACAAAATATGGAATTTATAAAAACACTAAGTTAAACTATAAGTATACAAAAAAGATAAATGCTACAAACTTTCTAATTTAAATAACACAAGAAGCAAACAGGCAAGCATTACATAGACACATAAGAAAAGCAGAGATAATCTATGTTAAACGTTGTTCTGAGCTGCCTGGTAGCAAAAGCAAAGGGGTCTATACAAAAAGGTGGTCTAATTTCTCTGTTCAATAATATAAAATGAATATAATCTGAGAGAGTTTCACACATCAGTGCTTAAATGTGGGCCTCTGAGCTGTGTAATGAGGAAGACCTGTGAGCATTTTTTTCCAAGATGCAGAATTATTCTTATATGACCAATTTTTCTCTCATCTCATTCTATTAAGCATTTTCTGGTTTTTGTCTCAGTGATCAGAGGGCCACTCAAGTTTGCCTAAGTAAACAAAATTTAAGTTTGCTTAAGTAGCAGCAAATTGAAAGTTGACCTCACTGGTATCTAAAAATGTGAGACCTATACATATTTCAAAGCATCATGTTGTACATAACTAACATATATACTTTTTTTTTTTTTGACACGGAGTTTCGCTTTTGTTGCCCAGGCTGGAGTGTAATGGCTCAATCTTGGCTCACCTCAACCTCTGCCTCCCAGGTTCAAGCAATTCTCCTGCCTCAGCTTCCCAAGTAGCTGGGATTACAGTCATACGCCAGCACGTCTGGCTAATTTCGTATTTTTAGTAGAGACGGGTTTTCTCCATGTTGATCAGGCTGGTCTACAACTCCTTACCTCAGGCGATCCACCCTCCTTGGCTTCCCAAAGTGCTGGGATTACAGGTGTGAGCCACCGCACCCGGCCTAACATATTTTTTATTTGTCAATGAAAAAAAAAAAAAAGATGAGGCAAATGTAGTTGGCTGTCCAGGGCCTGGATATTTAATTTGGTAACCAAGGTTAATGTCTTCACATAATGCCATCTCTGCATCTCTCTTTCTTATGACTTCATTTCACTCTGTACATCTATCCATTTGTCATTCTCTCCTCCAAGGGTATCTGATGTTTGATTATCTTATGCTTTGCTGAAAACCACTACTTCCATGGAGCCTCCATATGACTCTTCAGCTCAAGTAGCTCTGTCTCTTTCAGTTCAAATTTCTGAGAGTCAGTGGTTTATTCATTCAGACACCTATTCCTGGTCCAATCAGCTATGGCTGAGGACTGGGAAATTAGAGGTCTTCAAAGTAGGATTAACTTTCTAGGGGCTGTGGAAAGAAGAGAGAATAAGACATATCTAATAATAGCTTTCAGTAAAATATGAGAACAATATAAGAGGGTACTTTTGGGAGTTGATTAATCTTACATTGTTATTGAATTGTTACTCCAAACACACTTGCAGCATGAATTACTATAGGGACATAGTGCTTTTATGTTTCTAGATTTTGCGTGCAGGCTTTACATAGTCTTTGTGTTCTGATGTAATGGACAATATCACAAGACAGCAGATCAGCTGAAGATGTGGCTGGACTCTAGGGGACAGTCTCTCTTCTCAAGTCAACCTTTGGCAGAACCAATGAGTCACACTGGATTATTCACCTCTGGAAGCCTGGACAATACTATCTGCTTTGATCCCCATGTACACCCTACTAGCTATCAGCTCTATTATTGCACCTCTGGCATTCATCAAAAGCAGGGGCATTGAAGCTTGACCATCGTTAAATTGAAGGAGACAGCTGGAAATTCTGTATTTCAAAAATCCTTATGGATGGTGTACTATATGTTAAACTTTTTGCTAGGCTCTGGGATCACCAAGATAAACAAAACACAATTCCTTCTGAGTAACTCCCAGGTACTGAGCAGAGAGAAACACCCAGATGAAAAATGTTGTGTAATGTGATAAGTGTGGTAAAAGTACTGTGGGCAAAGTGCCATGAAAAAGGGGAGAGGAAATATAATTAAGAGAGACTCCTCTTCCTTTTGTGTATTGTTGTAGAAGAATTCAAAAAATAATTTCTAAATAGTTGAAGAATTATAAACTGAGTGATCATTAGAGAGGTTTTTAGTGTTTTCTATTTGTTTTATAATGGATTATTGAGTTTGTAGTACCTATAGCTCCAAATTGAATGAAGATCTCCAAAACTTTGCTCAATTTATATGTTTCTAAAATATTGTGATTTAAACCTATGTGTTTTAGAAAAAATACAATGCCTTTAAGAAGGCTTTGATTTTCTATGTGTTCTTTTATTTTTTTCTTTTGGAATAAGCTCTTATCTTTTAAGAGAGAAGAATTTAATTTACCAAATTTCAGAATATGAGTAACTCCCAGGTACTGAGCAGAGAAATTCAGAATATGAAATTTGGTAAATTAAATTCTGTGGCATTTTCTATGGATAAGACTTTGACTTGTACACCTAGAAGTGCTCACATAAATATACAATTGTTTATATTTAAAATGCTATTCCTGAGATGTCTGAATGCACCTGGATTAAGTTATAGTATCTGGACCATTTCTATGTCCACTTAAAATTGCAGTAATCATTTTGCAAAAAATATATACAGATATAGACATTCAGCCAAGGGATTAGGTATGAGGGTATGAGGTCTGCAGAAGAGGCTATGGTTCACGGCTGACTAACTTCAGGTTGATAAGTGCTTATCGGGATGCCACGAGAACATGCTCCCTGGCTTCCAATCTCCTTTCCCATCATCATCTAGACAGATCCAGTCTTCAATATATGCTTTATTCACATGGCAATTTGAATCAGAGTGTTGCTTATCTTGGAGTTTGTTTCTTACACACTAACTAGATGTGGGAAAAGAGGCAGACAGCCAAATGTCTGTGGGACCCAAATGCCCATCTGGAAAATGAATAGTAGACTAAGCCAGTAGCCTCTAAAATTTTTATTTTTTTGATAGGCACCTCATCAGATTAATAAAAAGTTCATCCTCTTAAATGCAAACTTATTTATTCTAACTTATGGGAAAGTACTACCACATAGCTACATTATATACATTATAAACTATATGTGAAACAGAAAATAAAATAATCCCAAGATATATGTACATGTAAATTGTTGGTAACATTTTAGTTCTTGCCTTGGGTGATGAATTCATGTATACTCATGAATCATGCCTGTTTCATGTCATACAATGAAGTATAATTAAAACGAGAGGGGGCCTTGCATGAACCAAGGTCGATAGAGTCCTGAATTTAAAATACATTAATCATTTCTATGAACCTGATTTTCTAAACTTAGATTTTTAAAAGCTTGAGATGATGAAAAAATTGTACAATATTTTTAAATATCTTCCTAACCATGATTATGTAATCCTATTTTATCTAAAAGACAATACACACTTAGAGTACAATTCAGCATTACTGAATTGGATGCAGATCCATATGTTAAATACAATTTTTAAAGACTTATTTATCTCCTTTTTTTGCAAGCCTCTTCATTTCATGTTTTAAAATGTCATGACTTATGCTATATGAGCTCTTCCCTCAATTGTTTCAAATGGGCTTATCTTACCAGTGGCATCTGAAATCAGTGGCTTCTTTACAGGAGTAATTTAAATCACTTGTCCATTTTGTGCTGGTTAGTCTAGCTGAAACTACATAATCTAGTTCCTAAATCTGCTTAACTAGGTATACATAAACTCTACTGTGTAATGATATATTAGGCAATCTTGTGATTAAAATCGCCCTGTCCCTGGCTTCACGTGGAAGAACTCCCTTTTTCTCCCTCAGTTTACCATGGGTACCACGAGGGATTCATACAGCACTGATACGCAAATGGAAAGCAATAGTGTTGCTATACTGGTTGTTAAAGAATTGAATCATTTTCATACTAGATGTAAATAGTCACTTTCCCAAGCTCCTCAAAATACCCACCACTCTGGCCCTTCCTCTAAACCCTCACATCTGCCCAGGATATTAGCATCTGCATCTCTGTGGGTGGTGTCCATCCTGATTGGTCTGATGAGTGTGCAAAGTTGGGGGATACAGCCCTGGACCTCTGACCTTCAGACTGGGTGACAGCATGGGAGAGAGTTTATATATTAAATATTAGTAAAGTTCAAGTTTTTTTATTAGTCTAAGTAAACATAAATAGATAAGAATTAATTACCATATCCTCTCCCCAAAACCTTCTTTAAGACCTCTGGACTTAACAGTATCTAAGATTCCTTTGAGATTACCAGGAAAAAAAATCTCCTGTGTTTTTTATAATCGACAAATGGAACTCTTCAAATTCAAAATTACATTTTTGCATAATGTTTCATACATAAAATTCTATTTTGGAGACAACTTTTCAGAAATATAGCTGTTCTAAACATATTTACTGATACTTTTGTTCATATAAACAGATGTAGGGGAACTAAAATATGATGTATAAATTCAAATCTAAGCTTCATCACTTAGTCTTATCAACTTGATAAGAGGAAACTCAGTGTCACATAATTAAGGGTAATATTGAATATGTGAATTCTTCAGCAGTTGATCATATTTATACATTTAGACTTTGTATTTGGCTGCACACTTTGTGGGAAATTTTTCTAATTCTTTTGAATTAATTTAATGTCACTGCTTGAAATAGCCTAGGATATAGAAAAATGTCAATGATTTTCAAAAATGTCACCTTCTCTATGTAAAGAATGGCTTTTTGTTTTCTTTAAAAAAAGAATAAAGCATTTGTATTGAAACACTCTATGGGATGGCTGCCACAGGAATCTGTGCATTGCTCCACAGGTAGAAACCAATTGATCTTCAAGTGGGCAAGTTGGTCTTACCCCAATTTTGAGCAGATACATATTGTATCATCAAAACCTGTGGGGCAGTTGTCATGACTTGAGCATGGCAGGATGAATAAAATGCTCCCAGAAAAAAATCATTATATTTAGAACTTTCTCTTTTTAGCGAAGGAACAGAAACAGGTTTATTGAAGTCCATCAAACCTTCCAGTTTTTTTAAAAAGAAATACATGTTGCTGTATCCTATTGAATTCTGGCATCTTAAGAGAGGACTAATAAAGAGTATAAACATTTCTCTCTGTGCAAACATGTATGAGATTCAGAAAAAATGATAGCTCCTAGATCAAACACAAAACCCTTATCAGGCTAGCCCCTAAAAGCACTAAGAACATCAAAAGCAGTGTTTAGTCCACATGTCAAAACAAAACAAAACAAAATAAAATGAAATCGTTGATACCTAGAACAGTTTTGCTTTAATAAAACAAATCATATACATCCTGTGGATTACATAGATTCTGCGTTAAGTTTGCATTTTAGCTGCTATTTTGACATCCCTAAGCGGATGGATGAGAAGAAAGTATAGAGTGGTACCAAGCACCCACATGACAAAGGGAGACTGGAGAAAAACAAAACAAAACAAACATCCAAACCACAATAATAATTAAGAATGGATCTGCCAAATATCTTACTGCAGTATCTCACTTGGTCCTTTCAACTATTGTGTTAGGTATTATGATAGATCCCATTTTATTAAGGTTCATAAAGACAAAACAAATCAGTTGAGGGTCTAACAGGTAGTAAACAGTGGAACAGGGATTAAAATTCGGATCTATCACATCAAGGTTTCTGCCCCTAATCAGGATTGTGTCATGAAAGGGAAAGCAAGGTATTCATGGGCACACTTCGTGCCAGAGACTTTGCATACAATGTTCCATTTGATCTCCACAGCATTAATCTTTCTCAACACGGTTGGAAGTTGAAAAGTATATGTTGAAAGAATAAATGTAATAACAGAAAAGAGGGTGTTTTATGTCTGGGAAAAATAATGGCAGAAGAGAAGGAAATAGGAACAAAAGGCAGAAGGCAGAGATCAGACCAGAGGTAACTGCGCTAAATGTAACATCACCACCCTCAGTCCAAGAGGAATATTATTTCTACTATTTGTGGGATAAATATTCTAGAATTATTATTTAATGCTTAAGGGACAGGATTACCCCAGTAGTTATGAAGATTTGGGGGAATATCCAAACATCTGGGTTCAAAGAAAAAGACATCTAGGTGGCAAAAGTCTGGCACAAGTGGTTCTGTTCCTCAAAGGCATTTTAATCATTGTGTCATTGTGGTTCTGCTTTCTTTGACAAATAAAGCAATAAAGCATTTTCCCCTAATAAGTTAAATTGGAATTAACACAGGAGGTAGCAACTCAAATTTCAGAATGACACTTTTCCTTTTTTGAAAGGGTCTCACTCTGTCACCCAGGCTGGAACAGAGTGGCGCGATCATGGCTCACTGCAACCTTAAACTCCTGGGCTCAAGTAAATCTCTCTGCTCAGCCTCCTAAGTAGATAGGACTAGAGGCATGCACCGCCACACCCAGCTAATTTTCTTTTTAACTTTTTAGTAGAGAGAAGGCCTCACTATATTGCCCAGGCTGGTCTCAAACTCCTGGCTTTAAGTAATCTTCCCCCTTTGGCATCCCAAAGTGCTGGGATTACAAGCATGAGGAACTGTGTCCACCCAGAATGACACATTTTTTAGAATAGAAGAGAATATCTAGAAAAATATTATCCTTCAAAGCAGTCAATTTTTTAAAAACTACAGCAACATTGCAGGAGTTAATTGCAGATGCCATCTAGCTCCATTTCTGTATCGTATTATCTCCTACTGATTGTAGTAGTTAGGCTACATTGGGTGCAAGTAACAAGAAAAGAAGAGCAGGCTAAACAGCCAGGAGCTTAGTTCTCGCCTTGATGAGCCCAGTGGAATGTAGGTGCTGGCACAAGTTTGTCAGCCTCCTGATGCCACTGGGAGCCCACAGAACAGGGCAAGCTGCATGCCCAGCAGTGCATACATGCTCAACAACAAAAGAAGGAGACAGACAGGAAGACAAAGTGGTTTTGTGTGGAGACATTTTGTCTTTTTATCAGGAAGGGAACCTTCCTCCCACCTGTCTCCTGGCACACCACCATTTGTTCCTTCATGCTTCTAGTGGATCTCGTCTTGAGTTCAAATCATCCGCACTGTCCCATGCTCACTTGTTACCCAGTCACTGGCCACGGGGAAGGAAATTTGGGTAACAAAGTGATATCATCAGGAATCCTCCCAGACCTGGCTCATCTTGACTTCAAGGGATCTCAACCAGCTGCCTGACAAATCAAAGTTGCATTGACAAGGATACCTGCAGGTGGGATAGGATAGCTAGCTGCTGTGTAACCACTAAGCTGTCTGCATGTTGATGACAGAATTATTATTTCACAATGAGGAATTGTTTGGTTGAAATCAGTGTAAGCCTCTTTATCCAAAGATAACAGAACAAAAAAATTCATTTTAAAACATCCATATTTACCTTTACAAGTAAAACAAATAATGAGGCCACATTTATTGAAGGCAATTGGAATAAAAATGTAACTTAAAACTTGAGATTGTATTTCCTTTCAAATGACGATATGCGTATTTCAGACCACATTTTAATCTGCAGTTTTGAAATATGCAAAGTGCTTTTTATACTAAGAAAATAGAATGATTAATATAACTACTACATAAACTACATCCTTTTTCTAGTAAAACATCAGTTTTCTTCAATGTAGTCAGTATTGCACCATTATTGTAAAAGGCCATGGACAGTAACAATATGTTTTTGAAAACTAAATCCTAGATGGCAGTGACAATGTGTAAATGTACTCATTTATATATAATGAAATGTTAAATTCCTAAAAGGCAACTCTAATTAAATGGAAGAGGCAGAAACTCCACTGCTTGGTTGCATTCATTTGTCATACATCTCAATAAGACACAATTACTTATTTAATGTTTTAATAATTTGGTTAATGCTGTACCACCCTTACTACTATAAACAACGAACATGGTAACTTCAGAGGAAAATATTAAGAAAAGGGACAAATATTTCAAATTACGTGTATGTAAAACAATGCTATTTATAATTTAATCATCTCAATTCTGTGACATTAATAATTTATCAGAAGCTGCAGCCTGGGTAGCAGCCCAATATGTGTAATTCATTTCCTGGAGTCACTGCTGATGGTCAGTTAACCTAATAAGTTCAGAGTGATTCAGCTTCCTAAAAATTAATTTAGTAACTGTCCAGCAGTTGATTCCTTTAGAAATTTCATCATCTGCCATCCTCTGCGTAAAGTTCCAGTAGAATTGTGCTAGGAATGGTGGGGCTTGGATTAAATACTAAACTGCATTCAGGTAGTTCTTGCATAAATAGTCAGTGTCACTGTCAGATGTTTTCTGATAGCAGCATACCAAGAATTCACAATTACTGGACTCTGTTAGGGTAATATGGTTTTATTCTCAAACTACATGAAAACAGCTCCTTCTTTGAAGACCAGAACTGACTTGTTTTCTTAATCCCACAGCCCTCGGCTTCATAGAATTTCATGTGCTATTTGTTCTGGGCATCAATCATAAAATGTCTCTTGTGATTTAGGAAGTGTATGTATATCAGAGTCAGAATTTTCTTATAATATCAGAAGCGGGGAGGTGGATAGTGGTCTACATATTTCACTAGCAGACTTTGAGGCATGGGAGAGCATGAATCACAGTGAGAAACCTAAACAGAAGGGAGGAACAAAGCAAAATAGAAAACTAAACTTTAAGATTCTGTGTGTGTGCTTGTGCGTGTGTGTCCATTTACAACATAGTTTTCTACCTTGGTAATGAGTTGCCAATTAAGCAATTTTGCTACTAAGGAAACTGTCCTAACTTGGAAACATGTTGCTTTCATTCAACGGCACAAGGACAAATCTGAGTAAGTCAAGATCAGAAAGAGCATCTTTCCTAGACTAAGATAATAGTCAGGTAAATCTGCCATGAGAAAGCACAGTGTGTTACTATTTCTCATTCTTAACCAAAGATCAGCTGCAAACAGCAGGACAGTATCTCATGTAGTGAGTTATTTAGGTTGGGTTTTACCTAATAGTCTGAAAAATGCATTAATCCTTTGCTTCAGTCCTGAATTTAGTGGCTGGCTTGAGTTCCTGTTCTCTGGCATGAATACAGCATAACAGACAAGGCATCCTTCTCATCCCGACCTTTCCTGAGGCTGCAGGAGTAAAGGGGACTGTGAGCTGTGACTGCTTGATTACTTGGGAGTATTTATGAATGGATTTTTTTTCTCAGTCCTTGAGCCAGTTCATTCACACCTGTGTGTTTCTAATTTCAGAAAACTGCTGAGTTTTGTTCTTAGAAATAAAGGTATCACTAGGACCATAACTAGTTACTAAGTCATGACTTTTGTAATGCCCTTGAATACAACCATCATTTTTCTTCCCATCACAGATCTGTCCTGCTTTTTAAGTTGAGAGGCTGATCCATGAGAGTCCAATGGTTTGGACTCTCAAATCATTTTCCTCTTGATTTAATTGCTTATGACTTGGGACCTATGCATAAATAACCCTTTTGTTATCATTCAAATCTTTTTCACGGCATTGTAGTATTTATAATCAATATGTTGTTTATGATTTAGAAAACTCCTTGGAATTATTTTATAAGATTCAAAGAAAAACCTCATGCCATTTTTTGATTTGTCCAGAAAAAAAAAAGGAGAAGTTGGGGGAAGGAGAAGATGCATACTTTAAAAATGCAAGCAGTTATATGGGAGAAAGGAAATGGAGAAGCAGGGGAGAAATGTGTGAAATACAAACAAAAAGACAAAAATTGATTCCGTGAAGAATGGAGTGAATTAAAGCAAGCAAGGAGAGCCGCTTAGCAGAACAGGCTGCCCTCCACGTACGAGGATCTTGCCAGTGAACTTTGCAAGAGTCTCTAAAGTAAGAACAGAGATATAAATGCCCACCAGGAACCAGACACAAGGAAAACACTTTTTTTTTTCCAGGCAGAAAAAGAAAGAAACGATATGTTTAACACGCACCGACCGTCTATATGGTGCCAACTGCGTTCAAAAGCTCGTCTCTCAAATGAAAACCATGCTTGCTTGGACTCTGCAGATCAAACAAAGCTGTTTGAAGATAATTATGCTCTAATCCATCTGTAGTCTCCTTGTAGGTGTTTGGGAAAGTGAACTCAATTTTCAACAGGAGAATCTTCCCTAATATCTCGGGTCAATAGGATTGCCGGCGAGAGACCCCTATTTAAAGGAACTGGGCCCGGATCGAAGGCCCTTGCTAGGTGGTGGATTTTTATGACGTTTGAGTCTTCACTTTACTTTTGCTTTTCCCTCAAAGCCAAGAACAGAAAGAGATCATGTCTCTTCGTTGTAACTGTATTTCTGTTGTGGGCACTTTGCACTGAAACATTCGAGTCTTATTTATAATCAACAAGGTTATGATTTTCCTTTCTCTGTTTCCTCTTTTATTTTTGCCATATTTGGCAACAGAAGATTGGCAAGGCATTCTCCTTTTCAGCATGCATCCCTGCTCAAGGACTTGATTAGCACATTTTTGCCAATAAAGCAGGCAGTAATTAGTTTTTAATAATCGGTACATTTCTGCTATATCAGCAAGCGATTCCGAAGTCTGAGATATTTTAAAAACAGTGCTCAATAGCACAGGATACCACATATTAACTTTGGGGCAAATATAGCTTTTAGAATAATGTTTTGAAAAGCAGCCTCCTGTAAATATAAGGTGGTATGGCACCATATGGAGACTGGCTTTCTGACATATGGCTTGAATTAACAAGTTTAAAACTGTTAGGATCAGTTTTTCTTTCACTGAAGGCAAAAACCACAAGATTCAAAAGTGAAATATGCTCCAGTCACTGATACAAAGGCTCACCAAACGCGGGGCCTCTTGGGCTAGATTTTTTTGTTGGCAGTCAGTGCAAGTTATCAATAGTAAAGCAAGTCGTAACACGACGAGAAATCACAAGGCTGCCAAGCCTTAAGATTTCACTTCAAATAGCACTTACATGGGCCCACACCACACTCCCTAGCAAAGGACATTGCCATTTTTGAAAGTGGCTTTTGAATTATGATTATTACATCCTCAACATAAATTGTTGTTCTTGGGTTGACATAAAAGATATTTGAAAAGACAAACTTGAGTGACAGATGGAAACGGTGTCTTCTGATCTCTCCTAATTGAACTTTTGTACGATGAATTGAACAGGAGAAGTTCAAAGATCCAGGATCTGTATTACACAAATATTGTTTCATTTAATCAAAACTGTCTTTGAAGTGTGGTGCTTGTGGGCCACCTGTAGCTTTGAAATTTAAAGTCACATAAAGCCTTTGGTGATACTGAAGAGGACAGTACGCAGCTAGAATAATTGCTGGACAAAAAAACGGAAAAAAGTGAAGATGCGAATGAAGGCAGTTTTCATATTCATGATTCCTTTTATTGCCCTTTCATTTTTTCAGCAAGCTGAGCTCTCTAAAGTTGTAAAGAAAAGCATTCGTGCATCCAGACACTTACAGGGCTGATTTTCGTCATTGGAAATGTATTTGTTTGTGGTTCAGCATCTAAACTATAATTATTGCAGCTTTGAAATATCCCATCAGGGTGAAGTTAAGCCCGGCTAATCTGATTCCACTTTTTCTGTCTGCAACTCCCTGTATGAAGATGATTATGAAATTTTTCTCATAGAGATCTGGAAATCCAGTTCTTTTTAAAATCTTGATCCAAGTGGCATCAAACACATTTGTGGCCAGAATGGGAAACCTCTATCGGGATAGAATATTTTACTAATAAGAGGAAGTGTTATTGAAATGATATTTTATATTTATACAGTTTGCAAAATACTATCAGGTATGTTGTCACCACTTAATTCACAGAACAACTCTGGCACATAGTCATCTTGACATTTTATAGATTAAAAACAGCAAAAACAAAAGCCTGAGGCTTAGAAGGCTTAAATGATTTGCCTAATAGGTCACAGTTAGTCAGCAGCAGGCGGGAGATGAACTTGGGATTGGAGTTCAGGCTCCCAGCCCTGTCCATCATGTCCCTTCCCACAGGCTGGTCTCTCCAGCCACTTTCCTTGCAGTGTGGCGCTCCCTCGGAGTGGAAGTGAGCTGTGTTTCAGACACTGTGGAAGCTGCTCCTTGGTCTCTTTGTTTGCACTGTTATCCATGCTCTCTGCCATAGGAGGGCAGCAGGAAAGCAATGAGATACGGGGACGGGGAGCAGAGGCAGCAAGGCATTTGGGTCACATGAAAACTCAGTATCCTGGGGTCTTGCTTTCTTAATCAGCAGGGCACTCATTGAGCTTAAAATATAGGTTTCCTGGGAGCCCGAGATGGTGGATCACAAGGTCAGGAGTTCAAGACCAGCCTGGCCAATATGGTGAAACCCCGTCTCTACTAAAAATACAAAAAAAAAAAAAAAAAAAAAAATTAGCCAGGCTTGGTGGCAGGTGCCTGCAGTCCCAGCTACTCAGGAGGCTGAGGCAGGAGAATCACTTGAACCCGGGAGGTGGAGGTTGCAGTGAGCAGAGATCATGCCATTGCACTCCAGCCTGGGCGACAGAACAAGAATTGTCTCAAAAAAAAATAAAATAAAAGGTTTCAAGTGAATCCATGTTCTTGCTATAAATAGGTATATAGGCCTTTCTGTAAAAGCATTCTAGAAAACCCTTTCACAGTGACTGTGCCCTCTTAATCTAGAGCAGATAGCAATTCCTTGTGACTCCTCTGGATCCCCAGATACTGTTCTTCTATAAGTACTTTTAGTTGTATGGAGGCCTGAAGTGAATCTAGTAATGATTTTTTTTTTTGGAAGCATTTGTTTCTGCCGTGGGATGAGTCTTTTTGGCCTAGTTCGAGAAATTTCACTTAATCAGTTAGTTTAAAAATCAGGAGAGAATCACAGAGCAGACAGCAATCTTTGGGAGCATTTGGTTCAATCCAGCTAGGTTACAAACAAGACAACTGAGGCTTAAGAAACGTTACTTATAGAAAATCGCAGAACTACAGAGGTTGGCACCCAGGCCTCCTGTCTCCCATAGTCCAAGGCTTTTTTAGTCAAACTACCTTGTCTGAAATGTTATCTAATAAAACGAAACAAAACAAAGAACAGACAAAAAGCACAATGTTTCAGGTGTCTCAATCCATTATTCTCTCAATCCCCTGCTGTTTTTTATCCTTCTTCAGAGGATAGCCATCACCTACCTGACATATCACATATTTATGGTTTATTATTTGTCTCCCCAGCCCCCAGGAGAATGTAAGTGGTAAACATACTGGTAAATGCTTAACAACCAGCTCTCTGAAGAGAAGGAAAAAGCAATGACTTGTAGCATTTGCTGATTTTGTGGTGTGAATCCACCCACCAATGGTTGATGTCAAGCTATCAATGTGGCTGAACACAAAGTTGAAGATGCGTGTCTACTAACCTTGCCGAGGCACTCCGACTGTTTCATAAAAGCTCTGGCTGTATCCCCAGTGTCTAGAACAGAGCCTGGCATGTATTGACTGCTTAATAAATATCTGGAACTGCCTTATGGGAGTAATGAGAGTAGTTTTCTAAAAACTGCTGGAATTCTGCTGCTCTGATTTTCCCCCTAACGTGCAAGGCTTCAGCATCCCTTCCTTGGGAAGAATGTTCATTTTCCCAGCTTGTCTGTTTCTGGTTGTTGGACATTGGCCAGATTCTGTTTTAACTTCAACTTTAAGTGAAAAAAAAGCATAAAGGGTTTGTCAGGTGAAATTTTAAATGCAGATTGAGAAAAACGAGATTATCATAATGAGACTCGTGTTTGGGAACATTGTGATAACAATGTGATTCTTTTTCTTCCTCTTCTTTTTTAAACACTTGGGATGACATCATTCATTCTCTCCTTGGGGGTACAGGTCCAGCCCTCTGGCAAGCATTTCTACAACCTTTCCCTCTGTAGCCTCTGCCTAGAAGCCACTCGCAGGAAACTAGTAAGTTCTGACCAAAGCTTTAAGCAACTGGAGAATCAGTGTCTTTGTGGCAGATAACATAACCCATTATGAACTGAGTCGTATGCTTTATTAATGAGAAAAAGAAATCCCAATTCTGCCCTGGTTATTAGTGTAACTGGAACTTATGTCGAAACCAAATGCGGGAGGGCTTTGGTCGGCCATATTCTTTTGACATTTTTATGTGCAAAACACTGTAAGAAACGAAGCCACCATGAAAAACATGTCCAATAATTTTGGTGATCTTGAAGTTAAAATATCCATGAATGCACAAAGGAAGAAAAGGGACACAAAATGAAAAATTAAAACCACATCCTCCTGTGCTGTAGGAGAGAGGTGCATCTTCAAATATTGAGCAGCTCTCTCAAAGGGCAGTCATTTTTTAAACAGGAATTTTGGTGTTTTCTGTAGAGTTCCCAAAACATGACCAACAAGGCCTAACTGCAACTCTGTATATTTTTCACGCAAATATATACATTTTGCATGCGTGTTTTATAGAAATTATAAAGAGAGATGAGCGTCTTTTTGGACCTTTCTTACTACGGCATGTAGTATAACTTATATTAAATTCCACAGGAACACTGCAAATCAACAAGACATTTAGCCTGAAGATTTCAGTACTAGCATAAGCAAACAGTCTACTGGAAATTTATGCATTCAGAAATTTCAGGAAATTTATACCTTTCAGAAATTCATATATTCAGATATTTTATTTTGGGGGACACATTTAATTTCAAGCAAATAGTTTGAGGGGAAACATCTTAACTATGGAAAATTCTGAACGAAACATAAAAGGCTGCAAAAAAATGGCTTTCTGTTAGGGCACATTGAATACCTGAGTGATCATATACCCCTTGGAGGCAGCACTCGTAGGCAGACATCTTTGTGCACTGTCCCCCACCACACACACTGTGTGCTCAGCCAACGTACACTGATTAGGATTAAGGGAAATGATTCAAATGGACTCAAAAGCTAATTGAAAATGTACCCTTGTGATTCATAATTGTAATGACATGGGAAGACTTCATTTTGGATTGATTATTTAGACAAAACTTGTATTTTTCCTTATGAACACTCTGACTTCCATATTTATCAAAGTAATGTTGACTTAAAACAAAAAAGAAAATTTTAGGCACTGTGGTTCTTCAAAAGCAGCCCAATTCAGTTGCCTAATTTTGGTTCCAATGGAAAATATAATATTTTTATTTTTCTTTTGCCTCTAATGAATATCTTAAGCAAAATCTAAACCATGTTGGCCTGTTAAGTGAGGAAAGTGATGGAAATACAGACACAGGAGGAGAGCGTTTTTGGTTGTTTTTTTTTTTTCCTATTTACATGAAACTGGCTAATAGCCAAGCAGTCTGGTGTTTCACTTTAAACATGCAGTCGTTTACCCCACAGAGCATAAGTCAGCTGCCTTACCTGAGACAACCTGTTTCCTTCCAGAGCTGTTCTTTTAAGGAGGTTTATTTTGAACTTATTCATAATCAGCCATCACAGGGACATTAATACAGTTATTTTAAGGCAAGGATCTGTTCAATAATTAATTACTAGTCCGTCAAAACACAACTGGTAATTCCCAACTAAAATGTGCAATAACTTACTTAAAGTGCTGAAGGAAATTCTTTAAAGCATTAAAAAATACTTTATGAGTATTTTTAGTGTACACATAATCATAAAACCAGAGCTTAATTCTATGTTCTACATACAGGTGCAAAACAAAACAAAACCAAAAAAGAAAAGGGAAAAAAAATCCTCCAGGTTTTCTTATGAAAGGCATTAAGACTAAATTCCCTATCAGCAATTGCACTGTCTTTCATTTAAATGTGCTGATTTAGGAAGCTTGAAGAAATTTTTAAATTTAAAAATTATAATGCTATGTATGAAGGAAAATATTTAGAATTGTAGGGATTTCTGCAGCCTAGAAAACTACTTTGTGAGGTCAAGGATTGTCAGTAAACAAGGCAGAGCAGACCACCATTTATACCTTTAATTTCCCCTCCCTGACTGATAAATGTTAAAATTCTTGAAAGCTTTCATTAGAGAACTTTCCAAGCAAAAAAGAAAAGTCTAATCAAAAAAGGGGCATTAGCTTAGCTTTAAAATAAACGAGCTTTTATAACTCAGGTGAAGTGTGCTATCTCTCTTTCTCTCCTCCCTACCCATCTCTCTCTCTCTCTCACTCTCCCCCTTCCATCCACCCCCTGCTCTCTGTCTTAGGCAAACAGGTATATTAATAGATCATAACCACAGCATTTTGCTAACAGTCACAAAGCTATATTTAAATGCAGAGTGCCTCTGCCATGAATTCTATAGTATCTTTATAATCTTGTCTTAAAAATACTTGCTATGGCACAGCATCTTTGATTCCAGGTGTGTGACCATGACCTAAGAGATCTAGCTACCACCACCTTATTTCTGCCTCACCCTCCAAGAGAGGCTGCAGGTGGAGGTGGCCCCAGGCTGACCCCTGCCCTTCAGACAACAGGAGGCAAATTCAAGCGTCTGGGGCCCAAACTTAGCTCTTTAACTCCCAGGTGAGCTGATTTGGAGAAGCTTTTCTCCTTTTAACCTAATAATTAAAATACAAAAGAGTTTGCATTGAAGGGGCCCAGAGGCGCTGACCCAGGTAGGCTCAGACTTCTTTCTGGCTTCCAGTGTCCATGAGACCCCCACCCTGCCCCCAGTCACACATCCATTCACTGCAAGATAATTATGCAAATATATACTAACTAGGCTTAGTTCCCTACTTAGACTTCCTTCCCACTCCCTGCATCCTAGCATGGGTGCTGACAGTGTTTTGGAAGAGTTACTAAATAGCTGGAAGGCTTTCTGAATATATCTATCCTGGCCTGTCAAAGCTAGAACGGCGACGGTCCATCTGGGCCTGAAAGACAATTTCCATGGTGTAAAATACTCTTTCAATTCTTTCCTACCATAGACAACCAGCTGGTGCTACAGTGAGACAGCCAAATCCACTGTGTGTAGACCTCCGCTCCAAGCTACAGAATGGCCTGGGATGACCCTGAGGCCGTATCTTCAGAGCAGTGAGCACAAGCCTTTCTGAGGGGAGAAGGCAGGTCCGGTATTAGAGCCACTGTCTAGCGCCGAGGCTGTGGAAGGCAACAATGGCAGGATATGCAAAGCAGTTGAAAAATGAATGAAAACGTATTTTTTTTCCAACTTTCTGGATATTAAGCACAGAAAAAGATTCATGAGGAAAAGAGCCTAAAGTTTTTCAAACAAATGCCTACTTTTCAAATGTCTATCTTAACCAGAAGCCCTTTCTGGCACATTTCTGTTGTGTGATTCTGTATACCATTATAAAATCATAAACAGCATTTGAATCTGGCTATGTGGGCACAGTGGAGGAGATTGTTTCTTTCCCTGGAAGTCCTGGGATTCTGCTCACCCTTTAGTTCTTCTAAAAACATCATTTGCGAATGTGCTTCAGTACTGATGTATATAGAGTATTTATGAGCCACGTGGGCCTGAAACTGATTCAGGCTCCTCAGTAAGGATTTCTGGATACACATCTTTTATTATTATTATTATCATACTTTAAGATCTAGGGTACATGTGCACAATGTGCAGGTTTGTTACATATGTATACATGTGCCGTGTTGGTCTTTTATCCATATTACATCTTCCGGGAAGGATGAGAAACATGATCCTTTTCTGAACCGCCAGGTGAAGGTGAGTCAGACTCAATATTTAGTAAGGAGTCACAAAACACAGGCCAAATTATCAAGCAATGGAAGTCATTAGGGCTCCATACTGCACTGCCAGCCCAGAATCGAAAGGCAAAGGCCTGGGAAAGCAGACACAGCCAGCAGCAGCCAGGGGGAGAGTAGAGCCAGTCATTGTACTATTCATTGGTCAAACCAGTCAGGAAGAGCAAGAACAAACAAACAAACAAACAAACAGAGAACAAGTTGATTTTCTCAGGCAAAGTAAGAGTCAAAAAGGGTGGAAAAGTTTCAGGGGAAAGTAGTCATGGCACCCTGCGGGGGGGAATAATTCTTAGGGACCTTGAATAAGCAGCTTTGACCTTGAATGAGTGGCTTTGATAACCACTACTCATACAGCTTTTTCCTAAACCTCAAGTCTTTGTTTTTATCAGGACCCCTGCAGAGACTGCAGGCCACAAGAGGTCAGTTGCTGAATGCCCTGGGCAGGGCCTTGTCTTCACAATTCTCAGTGTTCAGAAGACTTCTTGCTGGTGTCCCAGGAGCAGGTGTTCAAGAAGGTGGGCAACATCCCTGTCTCAATGACATCTGGTTTGGCAGCCCTCTGGCTATGCTACTACAGCCAGGAGAAAAATATCCAAACAATATGCTCCGGTTTAATCATGAGCTTGGCCAGTTTAAATAGAACTTTGTTTTCTGCTAGTGTGACCAATGTATTCCTTACCATCATTGGACAGGTAGGTCAGGGCCAGAGTGTGCCCAAGAGAACCTCACTAACGGGATGCCACAGAGGAAGAGAACACCATCTGGATTTATTCTGTGCTATTGCCAGGGTTATAGAGAAAAGCAGTAGAGGTTGACAGTGTCCATGTACCATTCCAGAATCCCTGATGATTAGAGTAGTGAGCCCTGGGATGGAAAAATGCAATTGAATCTCTCAAGCTAATGATGTCTCTGAACTTGGCAACATTGCTGTTTGTTGCTAAGAGCCCACCCTCCTTATTCACATACAGTCAAGAGCGTCCCTCACTTTTGTAAATGAGTTTCAGATAAATATGGCTCCCTCAGGCACACTGACATCTCTGACATGCAAGAAGCAATGTGTGTTAGAGTCTAGACTGCTTAGAATTGACCTGAAAGGTAACCATACCCCAAGTCTGCCTGGGTGCCAGTAGTATCCTGGTACACAGTTTAAAAAGAGGCCTATGAAAAATTAAAATTAAATGAGATGCCACTACATACCAACTAGTGTTGTTAAAATTAAAGCCTGATGATTCCAAGTGATGACAAGTCTGAGGAGCAACTGACTCTTAGAATACACTAGCAATGGAAGTGTAAATTGATTGAAAATTTACACTACAACTGTGGGAAGCTATGTAGCACTATCTGTGAAGTTGAAGACGTCCATATCCTTTGAACCAGCAATGCCATTCTTGTGTATATAACCAACAGAACTACTTGAACATACTCATTAAGAGAGGTATATAAATGCTTACAGCAGTATTATTAATAATAGCATGAAACATGGAAAAGCAAATAAATGTCCTTGATTGTCAAAAGGGATAAATAGTTTCCGGTCTTACATTTAAGTCTCTAATCCATTTTGAGTTGATTTTTGTATATGGTGAGAGATAGGGGTCAAGTTTCATTTCTTCTGCATATTTATATTCACTTTTGCTAGCGCCATTTTTTAAAAGAGTGTTCTTTCCCTGATGTGAGTTCTTGGCATTTTTGTTGAAAATCATTAAGCTGTAAATATGTGAATTTCCTTCTGGATTTTCTCTTCCATTGTCCTATGTGTCTGTTTTATATCAATACCATGCTGTTTTGATTACAATGGCTTTATAGTAGATTCTGAAGTCAGATAATGTGATGCCTTCAACTTTGTTCCTTTTATTCAGTATTGCTTTGGCTATTTGAAGTCTTTTGTGATTCCACATGAATTTTAGGATTATTTTTTCTATTACTATGAGAAATGCCATTGGTATTTTGATAGGGATTGCCTTGAATCTGTAGATTGTTTTGGGTAGTACGATCATTTTAATAATATATATTTTTTCAGTCCATGACCATCTTATGCCTTTTCATTTGTTTGAGTCATCTTGATTTATTTTTTCATCTGTGATTTATACTTTTAATTGTAGAGGTCTTTCACCTCCTTGGTTAAATTTATTATGGGTATTTTATTTTATTTTTGTAGTTATTTTAAATGGGATTGCTTTCTTGATTTCTTTTTCAGCAAGTTCATTATTGGTGTATAAAAATGCTACTGATTTTTATTTTTATTTTTATTTCTATTTTTTTGAGGCAGAGTCTAGCTCTGTCACCCAGGCTGGAGTGCAGTGGCTGATCTCGGCTCACTGCAACCTCGGCCTCCTGGGTTCAAGCGATTCTCCTGCCTCAGCCTCCTGAGTAGCTGAGATTACAAGCCTGCCACCACTCCCAGCTAGTTTTTGTATTTTTAGTAGAGAAGGGGTTTCGCCTGTTTGTCCAGGCTGGTCTCGAACTCCTGCCCTCAAGTGATTGCCCATCTTGGCCTCCCAAAGTGCTGGGATTACAGGCATGAGCCACTGCGCCCAGCTGCTACTGATTTTTGTATGTTGATTTTGTATCCTGCAACTTTACTGACTTCATTATCAATTTTAAGAGTTTTTTGGTGGAGTCTTTAGGGTTTTTTCTATATAAGATCATTTAGTCTGCAAAGAGAATCACTTTGACTTCCTCTTTTCCTATTTGGATGCCTTTTAGTTCTTTCTCTGCCTAATTGCTCTTGTTAGTACTTCAGTGCTATGTTGAATTAAAATGGGTAAATAAATTATGCTATATTCCTAGGGTAGCTAACTATCCTAGTGTATCCAGAACTAAGACGTTTCCAGAAATATAGAACTTCCAGTACTAAAACACAACTGTTTGTGCTTTAGATACAGTGTGTAAGAAGGTTAGAAGTTACCACTCCTTCGTAAGAAATAAAAAGCAGATAAAACTGAAAAATCAACAACTCTTCTTAGATAAGTCAGAGAAATGAAGTCACAGGACAAACTTCCACCTCTGAATTGGACAAACAAACAGGTGAATACAGAGAATCACAACTTAACCTGAGCAGAAACCACAAGTCGAAACCAGTGCCAGGGTAAGGAAATTAAGCAACTAATTTCTGGAGGACTCTGTGAGCAAATCTGAAAGTTAAAAAGTCCTGCGGGGTTTAGGCGCAGTCACTCATGCCTGTAATCCCAGCACTTTGGGAGGCTAAGGCAGGATTGCTTGAAGCCAGGAGTTCCAGACCAGCCCGGGCAACAAAGTGAAAGCCTGTCTCTGCACTTTTTTTTTTTCTTTAAGCTGACATACTGGCATGTACCTGTAATCCCTGCTACTACGGGGAGCAGAAGCAAGAGGATCTCCTTAACCCAGGAGTTTGAGGTTGCAGTGAGCTATGATCATGCCATTGCACTCCAGCTTGGGTGGCAGAGGAAGACCCTGCCTCTTAAAATTTTCTTTTCTTAATCTTAAATTTTTTAAAAAGATTTTAAAATTCCATCCCAGTTCTCACTACTCTAATAATCAGGGATTTCGGAATGGTACGTGGACATTATCAACCTCTACTGTTTTTCTCTATAACCTTGGCAGTAGCACAGAATACATCCAGGTGGTATTCTCTTCCTAAATTTGTCTAAATTAAAATTTTCTTAATTAAAACAAAATCATGTGGGGCTCCCACACTTTTGTGGGTTTTATCTCCTGAGACACCATCAAATTCTCATTGTGAATATCAGAGAAAAATCTTCTCAGGATTCTAGCAGGAGCAGAGGTAAAGTAACCATTTTTGAACACCCCAGGGCAGCAGTCCCCAACCTTTCTGGCACCTACTGGTTTTGTGGAAGACAATTTTTCCACAGATGAGGTGTGGGGATGGTTTCGGGATGACACTGTTCCACCTCAGATCATCAGGCATTAGATTCTCATAAGGAGCGCACATCCTAGATCCCTCACATGAGCAGTTCACAATAGAGTTTGCAGTCTTAGGAGAATCTAATGTTGCTGCTGATCTGACAGGAGGCAAAGCTCAGGCAGTAATACTCCCTTGCCTGCCACTCACCTCTTGCTGTGCAGCCCAGTTCCCAACAGGCCACGGACTGGTACCACTCCACAGCCCAGTGGTTGGGGGTCCCTGCCCCAGAGCATACTGTGCTCCTTAACAAGATATGCCCTCAGCAGAAACTACTCAGTCAGAACCAAACTTTCTGGAGTTTTGTTAGAACCTAACTTACTTGGGGAAAGGGAAATGTCAAACTCCAGGCCCCACTAGCCATCCTGTCCCACCTAAGGATGGGAGAGAACTGAGAAGAACTTGTGAAAATCACAGTCCAGAGACAGAGCCTTATGAAAAGACTGAAACCTAATCATAGGACCGTAAAACACTTCCCCTCTCACACACCTTACCACTATATTGCTAAATGCCTATTCTTCTTTTATCAAGTATTTAATGTCCATCTTTCAACAGAAAATTACAAGGCATATTAAAAGATAATGAATTCAGTTGAACAGCGTGAACAAGCATCAGAACAAGAGTCAGATACAGCAGGAATGTCAGAACTAGCAAACCAGGAATTTTGTTAAGTTATGGTTAACATGCTAAGGGCTTTCATGGAAAAAGTAGACAACATGAAAGAACAGATGGATAAGGTAAGCAGAGACATGCCAATAAAAAACAAATGCTAGAGATCAAAAACACTGTAACAAAAATAAAGCTTTTGATGAGTTTATAAGTAGAATAAACACAGGTAAGGAAAGAAACTCTGAGCTTGAGGACATCACAATGGAAACTTACAATACTGAGAAAAAGAGGGGAAAAACAAAAAGTCAGAGTATCTAAGAATTGCAGAGCAGCTACGAAACATGTAGCAAATGACTCATGGGAACACCAGAAAAAGAATTAAGAGAGAAAGAAAGGGAAGCAACATTTAAAGCAATAATGACAAAATATTCCTCATTCCTCCTTTTGTCCCTGGATCATTGCTTTTATTCATTTCACTTACATATAAGCATATATATTTACACCTATGCATCACAAAATGACATTGTGGTCAAAGACAGCCTACATGTATGACAGTGATCCCATAAGCTCAACAAATTCCCCCAAAGGCACAATTTTCCCAAATTAATAACAGACGGAAAACCACAGGTCCAGGAACTCAGATAATATGAAGCGTAAAACAAAACAAAACATTTTACCTATAGAGAAGCAAGGATTAGAATTATGTCTGACTTCTCAAAAACCATGCAAATAAGACAACAGTGGAGAGAAACACTTAACGCATGAAAAGAAAAAAACTCACCAACCTAGAATTCTGTACTGTATGAACTTATACTGTAAAATGAAGGACAAATACTTTGTTAGACAAACAAACATGCGGCAAATTTTTTGCTAGTAGACCTGCCTTGCAATAAATATTAAACAAAACTTCAAAGAAGAGGAAGATGATATAAAAAAGAAACTGATGTAAATTTAAAAAGAAAGAACATCAGAGAATGAATAAGTGAAGGTAAAATAAAAACATTTTTTATTATTAATTGATATAACAGACAACATTTTTTTCAAAATAGAAACAATAATGTATTAGAATATTTAGTATATATATGCATGTGTATACATATATGTATGTAACTATATGTATATATACACACACACAGAGGCATATGTGTCATTATGTGTCACATAACGACAGGGATACATCTTGAGAACTGTGTTCTTAGTTGATTTCATCATTATGTAAATATCATAGAATGTATTTATACAAATCTAGATGGTACCGCCTACTATACACCTGGGCTATATGATATTGCCTATTGCTCCTAGGCTACCAACCTGTACAGCATAGTACTGAATAATGTAGGCAATTGTAACACAATGGTAAGTATGTGTGTATCTAAATATATCCAAATGTGGAAAAGGTACAGCAAAAATATGGTATTATATTCTCATGGGATCACCATCATACATGCAGTCTGTTATTAACCAAAATGTCATTATGTGATGCATGAGAATATATACATATATGCCTATATATAAGGGAAATGAAGGAAAGCAATGACACAGGGCACAAAGAAGGGAATTAGGAGTATTTTGTTATTATATATAATTGCTCTACCTGTGAAATGGTACATTGTTATTTGAAAGTAGACTTGGATTTGTTGTTAATGTATGTTGCAAAATATAGGGCAACAACCCGCAAAAAGTAAATTATATATACATGTATATACACATAGACACACACACACATACACACACATATACACACATATATGTGTGTATATATATAATATGATTAAAAAAAGCAGAGGAAATATCATATAAAATGCTCAAATGAAACCACAATAGGCAGAAAAAGTGTGGAAGACAAAAATAGGAACAAAACTGAGGGCAACAAATAGAGAAAAATAACAACTATTACAAATATTAATCCAACTATATCAATAATCATCTTAAACATCAATGTTCTGAATACACGATTTGAAAGACAAAGATTGTCAGAGTGGATCAAAAAACAAGATTCAACTTATTTTCTATATGTTGTTGACAAGAAACCCACTTTATGTAATTTCAGACTGAGTAGGTTTCATGGCAAAGAAATTAGTTAGGGAAAAAGAAGGGCTTTATATAATGATAAAGGGGTCAATACTCCAAGAAGACATACCAGTTCTTAATGTGTATTTGCCTACTAACAGAGCATCAAAGTACAGGACACAGAACGTTAGGAAGAAACATTAATCCACAATCATAGTTAAAGACTTAAACCTCCCTGTATCAGAAATGGGGATATTTCAAGGCCAGAAGATCATAAAGAACATAGCTCAACTTTCTAGCACCATCAACTGAATATAATTGACATTTATAGACCATTTCATTCAACAACAGCAGAAAATCCATTCTTTTAAGCTCACATGGAATAGTCACAAAGACAGACCACATTCTGAGCCATAAAACAATCATAATCAGTTCAAAAAAATAGAAACCATACAATGTTTGCTCTCAAACCAAAATAGAATTAATCTAAATATCAATAACACAAAGAGAGCTGAAATATCCCAAAATACTTGGAAATTTAATAACATACTTCTAAGTAACACAGAAGTCAATGGAGACTATCAAGAGATATTTTAAAATATTTTGAACTAGATGAAAATGAAAATATAATTTGTTGGAATATGTGGGATGCAGGGAATGCACTGCTTAGAGGTAAATTTATAGCATTGAATGCATACATGAGAAAAATCTAAAATCATTCTTCTAAGCTTTCACCTTCAGAAACTAGAAAAAGAAGAGTAAATTAAATTTAAAGTAAGCCGTAAAAGAAATAATAAAAATTAGACTGGAAATAAATTTAAAACAGGAAGACAATAGAGAAAATTAATAAAACCAACAGCTGTTTATTTGAAAAGAGCAATAAATTGATAAGCCTTTAGCCAGGCTAAGAAATGAAGTGAGAGAATACAAATTACTAATATCAGAAATTAAAGAGCAGACATTACTACATGTCCCATGGACATATAAAGGTAATCAAAGAGTACTGTTAACAACTCTATGCCCGCAAATGTGAAAATCTAGGTGAAACAAAAGAATTTCTTGAAACACACAAGATGTCTAAACTCACACAAAAATAGACAATATGAATAGGCCTATATTTTGTAAAAAAAATTAATTAATTACCTTCTAAAACAGAAAGGGTCAGGCCCAAATGGGTTCACTGGGGAATTCTATCAAATACTTAAAGAAGAATTTATATCAATTGTCTACAATTTTTTTTCACAACATCTTAATCAAAATTGATCATAAATCTAAAGGTAAAAATGCAAAACTATAAAACTTCTGAAAAATAACATAGGAGAAAATCTAGCTGACCTCGGATATCTCGATTACTTTTTAAATACAACAATAAAGGTACTAATAAGCTGGACTTCATTAAAACTAAAAACATTCGCTCGATGAAAAACAATGTCAGGAAAATAGAGTACAAGCCACAGATAGGAGAAAATATTTGTAAAGTGCATATCTGCTAAAAGATTGCTACCCAAAATACACAAAGAACATTTAAAACTCAACAATAAGAACACAGACAACCTGATTGAAAAATCGGTCAAAGACTTTAACAGACACTTCAACAAAGAAGATATACAGATGACAAACACGCCTAGGAAAAGAAGCTCCACATTCTGTATCATCAGGGAAATGCAAACTAAAACAACAATGAAGCATCATTAAACACCTATTAGTAAAGCCAAAATCCAGAACGAAATGCTGGTGAGGATGTGGTGCAACAGGAACTCTTATTCATTGCTTGTGGGAACACAACATGATACAGTCACTTTGGAAGACAGTTTGGAAGTTTCTTACAAAACTAAATATATTCTTACCATACAATCCAGCAACTGAATTCCTTGGTCGTTATCAAAGGAGGTGGAAACACGTCCACACAGAAACCTGCACATTGTGTCTATAGAAGCTTTATTCATAATTGCTAAAACATAGAAACAATCAAGATGCCCTTCAGCAGGTAAATGGATGAATAAACAGTCTGGTTCTGGGAAAACTGGGATGACTGGTCATCATACAGTAATGAAATAGGATGAATGAATATAATACCTTGAATGAATCTCATGAGCAAATTGTTTGATGGAAAGAAGTAAAACGCCAAACAATAAGTTCTGTGTCATCCATTAATATAAGTCTCCTAAAGGAGGCAAAACTAAACTATGGTGGTTGGAGGAACAGACAAACTGAAGAAAAGCAAAGATGGTTACTCACTGAGTGGCTACCCTTTCTCTGGGTGGGCCTGGGAGATTCATGAGGAAGGTTTCTGGAGTGGAGAAATGCTCTCATTCAGAAACAGAGTGGGGGTTTATCAGTATTAGTTGTATAATAAATCATTAAGATGTATCTGTGATTATTTCATATTTCTATATTTATGTTGTATTTTAGTTTTAAAAGGTTAAAACAAAAGATAGAGTGAGAAAGAATAGCTTTATACCACAGCAAACAAAGCCTTTCTGTGTCTATTCTGGAAGATCATATATTAGAGCAGAAACTGCATAGATCTTTGAGTCAAAATACCAGGTTTAAATTTTGGTTTTACTCCATGACCTTGGGCAAGTGGCTAAATTGATCTGAGCGTATCTCTTCCTCTAGGGGCAAAAATCTATCGGTTTCATTTTACTGAAGACATATCTATACAATATGCTTGGCACTTCACTTAAATACTCAGCATCATCTAACAGGAAGACAATAGCACCTATTTCACAAGATGCTGTGAAGAATAAAAGAGATAAAGAAAGTGAAATGTACAGCAGGAACCCACCCATGTGAGCCAGTCAGTGGGTGGCAGGGCCCCACTCTGCATCCTCATTTCTTGTGTTTTTAGGACTATTCACTGCAAATGCAGTTTTCCCACAGTGCCAGGAAATATGATGTTTTACATTTGATTTCAGTTCTGCAAGCATAAAACTGCACACGTAGTTGCAAATTGTTGGGAGCAGATGCTGCCATGTTGTGGAACGGTGGACCCCTGTCTCCTGCAAGAATGTCTTGTCTAACTTGAAGTCCCTACCAGCCAGCCCTCATCCACTCTTGCTTATGGGTCTGGAGAAGGGCCTCTATCAAGAGGGAAGAACCCCAGATATTTAACTAGAATGGCCAAGATAAGACTGTAACAAAAAGGGATAGCAAATACCAATTCCTACTATATATCGCCATGTTTGAATCAGCGCTATACCATGGCACAGCTTCAAGCAGACAATGGTGGCTCCGTATTGGGGGTTTAATGATGAGTGAAGCATGGAATCTACCTTGCAGGAGCTTAGAGACATGGTGGGCTCATATATTAGGAGGGTAAGCTCAGATCATTAAACAAGAGCCTGACTGATTTGCTGCCAAGGCATGCAAATGAGTTGGCCTTGTACTTGATTACATGGGACACATTCAGCTGCTCTTATAAAAATTCTGCCAAGGACAGAGAACCCAAGGTAAGCTTGACCAACACCAATGCAATATCTCCTCCATGGCAGACACCTCACTGACTGCAGCTACATTAATTCCCTTGGTCCTCATATTGCCCCTATCTTAAAAGTGAAGAAATTGAAGCTTGGGAAAATTAAGTGGTTTATTTTTGGTGTCGCTGGAATGAAGTATTAGAACCAATTTATACAGCTGGAGTTAAAGTAAAGCCCATTTTCTTTCTGCCATAACCAGAGAGCTATTTATGAAGGCTTTTCTGTGGCATGTCACAGGTTAGCATTTCCCACATCATGGTATTCCATAATACATCAGTGTCCCACAAATTGTTAAAATAAAAGGTTCAATTTTGTCAGAAAAATGAGCTAAACAATTCTTTACCCTATAGGAGTTTTCATCACCTTAAGCATTTCTATTACCAATTATGAACCTCATGGGAGAATACTTACTTCATTTTACAAGTTAATTAATTAATTAATTAATTTATTTATTTATTTATTTATTTATTTTGAGACGAAGTCTCACTCTGTCGCCTAGGTTGGAGTGTAGTGGCGCTGCAACCTCCGCCTCCTGGGTTCAAGCGATTCTTCCACCTCAGCCCCCTCAGCAGCTGGGACTACAGGCACTCACCACCATGTCCTGCTAATTTTTATATTTTTAGTAGAGTTGGGGTTTTGAGATGTTGGCCAGGCTGGTCTCAAATTCCTGGCCTCAAGTGATTTGCCTGCCTTGGCCTCCGAAAGCACTGGCATTACAGGCATGAGCCACCATGTCCAGTCACAAATTTATTTTGACACTCAAATATTTTACTTTCTTTCTTGGTACACAAGTGTTCTATGGAATCCAGCGTGAGCAATGATGCCCACTCTCACTGAGATGCTTCTTGGTGCTAAATTGGATATGTAACTGCGCAGAGAAAATAATAAGCATCTCCCCATAAACCCAGTAGAATAAAGCTCACAAACTCAACTATCATCCTCCTTGTTTGAACATAAACTCAACTTGTGTTTTGTGACAAGGCTAGGGGAAAACTCATGCTTCTAAGCAAACATCAGCAAGCTTGCATTTTTTGTTGTTATTGTTTGTTCTTTAGTGGAGTTCAGAACTTTAACTAGAATTATAACCAAAGGACAAGAGACTTAGAAACAAAATGATTCTTAAATTCATAAATAGAAAACAATGTCTCCATGGCCTCATTAGTAAAAGGTTCTTAAAGCTGGATGTCCACCAGAATTATCTATGGAGACTGTTAATTTATTGTAATTTTTTACATTTATTTTCTTTTATTTTTATAGATTTAGGGGGTACAAGTGCAGTTTTCTTGCATGAATATATTGTGTGGTGGTGGAGTCTGGATTTTTAGGGTATCCATCACCTGAATCATGCACATTGTCCCCATTAGATAATTTCTCATCCCTCACTCACCTCCCACTGACTTACCTTTCTGAGTCTCCAGTATCTATCATTCCATTCTCTGTGTCTAGGTGTACACATTATTTAACTCCCACTTACAGGTGAGAGCAACAGTTTTTGACTTTCTATTTCTGAGTTATTTCACTTAAGATCATGGCCTCTAATTCTATCCATGTTGGCGCAAGAGACATAATTTCATTCTTTTTGATGGTATATAGTATATATAGATATGGATATATATCATTTCTTTATCCAGTTATCCATTGATGGACACTTAGATTGAATCCATGACTCTGCTATTGTGCATAGTGCTGCAATAAATATACAAGTGCAGGTATCGTTTTGACATAATGATTTCTGTTCCTTTGGGTAGATAACTAGTAGAGGGATTGCTGGATTGAGCAGTAGTTGTATTTTTAGTTCTTTGAAAAATCTCCATACTGTTTTCCATAGCGATTGTACTAATTTACATTCTCACCAACAGGGCAGCTCCCATCATCCACGGTTCTGATTCAGCAGGTCTAATTTGTGTTGTTTAGTTTCGTTTTTGTGTTCCATTGGTCTAGGCCACAGAGCCATCACTCTCCAATGAAGTAATTCTACTTCACTGATAACAAAGACAGAAAATTAAGTTTTCAAGTATTGGCTTTGTGTTCTTGATCTAAAGTGTAATTTTGTGAAGAAACTGGAAATATCCTAATGCATAAGAATAAAGAATTTCTTGAATAAAATATGGCACTTCCTTACACCTGAATACACTGTGGTTCATTACATATCATATTATGGAAGGAATTTAGTACCTCAGCTGTCCCTGCTAAATGGCCCACCCCACAGCCCTCAACTCCCAGTCAGTTTCTACTTTGCTGTGACATTCTTCTATCCCACCTTCCTAGTCAAGATCACAGACAAATGTCCCCTCCTCCCTTGGGTGCACATGCAAAACTCTGCAACTTATAAGCAACTCAGCGAGGAGAGATGACAGGTCCACCTAGGCGCTACTTTTCACCCCTAATCTCTGCATCTTCCTATTTCCTGAAAGGAAGTGGAAGGCTTCCCTGCTCACAGTCTATTCTGAGTTCCCTCTGTCCTTGACACATGGTCAAATTCAAAGACAGAATCCATCAGTTCTTCCTCTTTGTGTAGGTTTTTGTCATTTAGAAATCCCTTCCTCTCCCCACAAAACTGGCTTTTAAAATCATCACTTTCTGAGAAATTTGAGAAAGTGAGCTTTGAGACATAATGAGCAACGGGCTTGTCCTCCAGGCTGCTGCTCATGCCAGGAGCTTCAAGATTCAGCCTTGGCTGTGGACAGTAATGAGGAAACCATGGGAAGAGGAAAATTAAAAGACAGTCTTTCTATTTGCAAAATATTGGACTTATTATACTTTAAAAAAAAAAACTTTCTTTCTTTCAATGGTAACTTTACCATTCTTACTTTCAATGGTAACTTTACTTCTGCCTACCTGGTCACTTTCTCTCATTCTTAGGGACCACCTCCTTCCCTCCTTGCCCATCACTTGGGCCACTCCAGCATATGGGGCTCTACTGGGACCCATGATTGAGAGGGACTGATTATCCCAGCAGGGCAAGGGAACTGGTCTCACACTGTGATTCAGACAACCAGGGTGGGATCAGCCAAAGCTGGGACTAAGCCTGCAGTGCCCACAGCCACCTCCACTGCACTGGAGTGGGCTTCTGAGGGCAGACATAGAATCCCTGCTCATATCATGTCCCAGCCCTTTGATAGAGATGCTTGAAATGAATCAATAGCTACAGCAGAGATCATTAAGCCTACCTGCAGTATTCACTTCTGTGCTCAATGATCCACCTTTTCTGCCCCCAAACATTCATCTTTCTTTTCCTTACTGGGTTATTTTTATCTCTCTCTTCTTATGTCTTCCATCTGTCCCCCCGAGCACCAATACATATACGTAGCTCCATTGTCATAGGACAGATTTGGCATATTCTTGAACACTCTAACAAAATCACTACCTTTTATAGCTTAGGCACACCTCAAGAAGATATCAAGACCAATTCCTTTATTTTGTCAGTGACACCAAGAGATGTTATCAGACGTCTCCAGGATTACACAGCCAGGTAGCAATGGCATGGAAACTAGAAATCAGGTCTAATATTGCACCTCTCCAGTTCTCCTGAAGTGTATTCATAAAAGGCAAATCTATTTTAACATTAACTCAAGAAATGCACAGAATGCTAAATCTGTGTACACACACACATACTTACACATAGCTCTCAACACCACACATAAATACTTTTGATTTTCTGTCTTTTTTCAAAAAAAGTGCTTTCCTTGCTTATCCCCTGCAATTTCATTAGCTGAGAGAGCTAAAAGTTGACTCAGTATCTACATTTTTTTAAAGCTCTCCTTTTCAGAAGCAATGCCCATTTTGAAACAAGCCTACACATACATGAAAAATGTCATGCTTTATATCATGTTTTGCCTCTGGGCATTTTGTCAAATTATTTTCTTTTTTTTACTTTGGGTCCTAATGATCCCAGACACTTACTATGCAAAGGAGTGAAATATGTTGCTCCCCTCCCTCCGCTTGAAATATTCAAGTAAGAAGGGGCTCCGAGGCTCTGTGTCCTCTGCTCAGCTGGATCGCCCACGTCCTCTATTCATATTTGTGCCTGCGTCCTTGCTGTTACCCTCATCTACATACATGCCCTGATCATCTGCAGGCTGTCTTTTCTCCTTTGAAACAATCTCTGTTCTTTATATCCAAGCTGCCAAATTCATGCATTCATTTTACTGTTTCCACTGCTACTTTGCTATCTGGATATTTGTATCAATGATGGGGAGCAACTAGCAGTATATAAAATACATTTGTTCAGCAATTTTTTCCATGGAAACAAAAGCAGGACCCCTCCATGTCTCATGCAAGAGCTCCATTGAAAAAGATCTCCACCGGGTTCCAAAGGGAAAGTCATGCCTACCAGAACCAATCTGGCGACAAGAGCGATAGGCATGTTCTTCCTTTAATTCTCACATTTTCTTGTGCTGTTAGCATTTTCTACGGATCTTTGAGAGGGGGCAAAAATCAACATACTCTTTTCCCAGGCTGCAATGTGCCTCCTGATGTATGGGGCACCATCAGGACCTAGTTTACAAATCTTCATCACCTGGGCATATGCTCAGAGCTTCTGCTGCTTGCCAGCCCTGGGTCTAGGGTTGGCTCCAATAAGAACCACTTTCCATTAAAAGTGCTGGCCGTCCCCTCAAACTCAGGAGACAACCTGACTTTCTTCAGGACGGATTAGAGTGTCCACAAAAGAGTTCATTTAATGCAAAATGTTTATAATTTATTGGGATCATTAGAGCATCAAAAATCAGATAAAACATTTCAGCAATGGGATAGTCCAAAATCACAGAAAGTAGTTCATTAGGAAAATAAAATATGCCATTGTGCTTAAATTAGAGAATATTTTTTCGTTAGTAAAATAGGGTAATGCAAGATATCTGAGAAGGAATGAGGGAGAGCTTGCTACCCTTGAGGACACAACAATTCATCTTGACACTATTTCTTATACAGATAAGTGATTCTCGTGCTTCAGCCTCCTGTGATGCTTGCTGATGCTTTCTTGAAGAGTGATTCTGCCCAGGGACACAAGACAGCTGCCCACGGGAGATGATATGAGGCTCCCAGAAGGCTTTGCAGCTGGCAAGGGGAGATAGAGGAATGTTCTTCCAGCCACTGATGGGAGCCTGAAATTTCACTTATAGTGAATAATGAGTTTTTTTTACTTAAAGATTTGGGCTCTGGTAAAATACGAATGTCCCCAAGAGGAAAGAGTCTTCTGACCTACCATTGTCTGCACATATGTCAGAGTGAAATATTTTTCAAAATGTTTCTTGGGAGTGGGCTTTGATAGGGCAAGGGATGTGTTAAGGAGAAAGCCTTTAGATAGCATTGGTTTAAGAAGATGGGGAAAGGTACTAACCACTGAATACACTGTGGAAAATTATGTATTCAGTTGTTCGCACCTTTCCCCTTTAGCAACTGAATGCACTGGAGGCAAAAGGAAGAATGGGAAGATAAAAAACTAGCACTTTTGTCTTGAGTCATCTCGGCCCTTGTTACTATATCCAGAGTTGAGTTCCCTGTTAGTGGAGGTGCTCCAGAATAAAATGAACAAGGGTTTGGCTGGCAAGAGGGCCATAGACAAGATCTAAATATCATATGCATGGCTGGACTCAATCCATGTAATCATTAATTTTGCAGGCACCTACTGTGTACCTTCTACCAGACACTGTGACAGGATGCATATGGCATTGTTGTAGCTTCAAGGAGCTCACTACGTCAAAGGTAAATCCCACCAGCTCTGCTTGCCAGCCTAATGCCTCTTCTTTGTGAACTCTGCAGAGGGTAATAAAATTTTTACTTGAGCAATAATATTAACCAAAGGCTTTGCCCAACTGTGGTTTTTTTCTTTTTTAAGCCAGTTAAGTGGCACACTGATTGAGCTTCTCACCCTGTGGCGGCTGCCAATAGAGCAGTTCATCATTTCTTAAGAGAACTGCCTGAGCGGAGAGCCTACAGGACTCTGTGTAAAGAGATCTGATTAGGGATTGCAGCATATGACTAATAAAGGAACGTGGAATCTTAGATGTTCAAAGCATTCCTTCTAAACAGAATTCCGAAGAGCTGTTTCTTAAGAACTATTTAAATAAATAATTTGCTGAACAGGAAAGACAAATATTCACTAGAAGTAATTGGTTTTTAAAAAGTAACTGATTCAAGGGAAAAATCAAAGTCAAACCAGCCTCTTTCATTTTTGTTTACAATATCATTGAGGGGCTCCCAAATCACCAGTGTCCGTGTTCTTGGCTGCCTCCCAGAGCCCACCCACAGGGAATAGGGGATAGCTCAACTCAAGTGCATGAGAGCAGCAGTTTGATCTGAGTACAACCAATGAATTGTACTTACTTGTCTTTTTTTTTTTCTTTTATAAGAATTTTTCTTTTTCCCATTTCAGTGTTTGAGGCCAGGAACTTGTATAAGTACTTCTCTTTCTATGCAGGATCTGAATGTGACCATATGAGTAAAACAGCCATGATCATCTTCCCAGTGGAAAGGCCACCAGTAGTTAACAGTTTTGAATCAACAATACACCTGCAAATGAGGACTGAAACAGTACACAGATCTCAGCAGTGGAATCATTTCTTCAAAACTAAATATTATGTAGTTATGATATAAGGATTGTGGTAATCATAAAAAGGTAACCAGAAATTCATCTTGACACTATTTCTTTCTTTCTTTTTTTTTTTTTTTTTTTTTTGAGACAGAGTCTTGCTTTGTCTTCCAGGCTGGAGTGCAGTGGCGTGATCTCAGGTCACTGCTACCTCCGCCTCCCAGGTCAAGCCTCAGCCTCCCAAGTATCTGGGATTACAGGCACCCGCCATGGCTAATTTTTGTATTTTTAGTAGAGATGGGGTTTCACTATATTGGCCAAGCTGGTCTTGAACTCCTGACCTCATGGTCCATCTGCCTCGGCCTCTCAAAGTGCTGGGATTACAGGCATGAGCCACTGTGTCCGGCGACATTATTTCTTATAAAGATAAAATTCCCTGTAATAACAATACTTTCCAAAGCATTTCCACATACATTATTGAATTCAGTCCTCAAGAATAAAAGTAAGTAGATATATTACCTGTATTTTTAAAATGAGCAAACTGACAATAAAAAGGTTAAATTCTACTCCAAAATTAACAGATGAGTAGGAGAAAGACCTGATATTTGAACCAAAGCCTTAATACTTTAAGGTCAGGATTCCTTTAGTTGAAATGTACATTCTCTAACATACTGTCTTTTTGACAGTCTCCACGATTTTTAGCTATGCAAAGATAGAAAGTGCTTTCTTTATTCTGTAACTCAATCAATCTATCTATTAACAGATATTGTGCATCAGGGCTGACACGTGGAAGATACAGGGAAATCTCAGAGGTGATCTCTACCTTCAAAGGAGTCAAGTCTCAAACAAAGAAAAATATAATGCATACTTAAGGAAAATAATAAGAAGCAAAATATCAATGATGATTGTAATAATTAAGGGAGGCTGGGGGAGTAGATTGGAGTTGATAAGTAGTTTGTGAAAAAGCTTCAAAGGAAGGATAGAGTGGATATGGATATGTATAGGAGGGGGTAGGTGATGTCTGCAGTCAAGTGGGCTTGTAGAATGTCATACACTTCTAGAATATCAGTCTGAAGGATAAAAGGGGTTGTGTCCTGGGTGGAGACTGTCCAGTAAGTTCCAGACCCACATAAACTGAATTTTGAGATAAGGATACAGTAACAGTAAGGATCTCAGGGACTTGAACAGGGCAAACCAAAGAAGTGACCACTGCCCACTGTGCAATGGCTTTGTAGGCACCAAGAATAACCCAAGTGTAAATGTTCAGTCTACAGCTTGGTCAATATCCTGCCAGTGGCTGCTGGCTCTGAACCCACTGAGATAGTGTGTTTTCTCAAGCTTGGCTCAAAAATGCAGATACTCCTTGACATACAATGGGGTTACAATCCAACAAACTGGTCATAAACTGAAAAATTCTAAGCTAAATCATGGAAGGTCAGGGACCATCTGTACAGGTTAGATGAGATTGTCACTCAGTGTCAAAAGTGGAACAGGGTGCAGAAGTCAGACTGTGGCTAATAGATGAAGAACTAAAAAGTTAAGGACAACAACAGTCAGTGATGGTGGAAAATGCATATAACTCCATTGAGAGGGAACTGGGAACCTACAATAAATATGGCACCATTAATTTAGAAAGCAGAATGTGTGGATAACTTCCATGTCATCAGAAGATCTCTATCTTGCAATATAGTTGATGAAAGGGCTGTAATGCGTAAGAATCAACAATAATTACTAGAATTGCAATATCAACAGTATTATTAACAACACATAACAGCTAATATATATGGAGTATTGACTCTGTGAAGGACTTGGCTAAGCACGGCACACACAGTCTTCCAGTTAACTGGCAATGATACTGAATGACATGCACACTGTCCACTCACTCTATACATGTGAAAACTGAGTCTGTGACTTTCCCAAAGACTCTTCACTAAGGAGTAGCAAACTCAGTGTTCTTACCCAACTCTGTCTGATGCAGAAACCAAGTTATAACCATTATGCACTAAAGGTGTCCTTTGCATGAAAGATTAACTTGTAGATACCAAATTATTCAGGGAGAAGAATTCCACCATGCATTTATGAAATAAGCAAATAGCCATGTATGGTCCAATGAGGAACACCAGGTCAGAAAAATCCAGAGAACAAATGAGAATATGTCCAATGCCCTTTTGCTAAAGTTTGTATTTCTCTAGGTTAAGGAGAAAGAACCCCTTCTTGAAACCCTGCCTTGTGTCCTAATGTCATGAGTCTTCTCAGCCCCCTTTGGGGATGTCCTCAAGATCATGGAGGGAATTCTTCTCCCATCTTGTGGTTGAATATGCTGAGACAGAGGATATTGTCCTACTTTCCACCTCATTCAAGAAGTAAGTCTCTTGCACTCCCCATCCCCAGCCCCAGGACCTTATCCCAACCACAAGTCCATGGGATTTTAATTAAGAATATGAAAGCCTAAACCCTTATGCAGAATTTTCTTTTAAAAATTTCTTCTCAACCTGGCATTTGTGGTAGAGAAATGAAACAATTCATTCTGACAAGTTGCACTAAACTGAGGCCTGAAGCATACTGTGAGAACCTCTCTGTGGATCCCATAAAGTACTCAGGAAATATGCACTTGACATCTGGTTTGCTGGATTCCTGCTGAGAAATGGAGGATTTGGTGTGAGGCTGTCGGTCCGGACTGGCAGATTGGCTGTGCATATAACTGTGCATGAATCCACACAAAGGGGTCATGTTCAGGCAATACTTGGGCATGTTCCAACAGAATCTCAAGAAGGCATATGAGCAGAGATTGAACAGTTGGATTCTTGTACAGAAAAGGCAGTGGTAACTTATGGATGGGAGTGTTAGGCATGCACCTCTAAGAAATAGGGAATGTGAGGTGCGTGCTGCAGAATATGATTCAAATACCAAGATACTTTAAAGTACATATACTTGGAGGAAAGGGGGAAAAATAATAAGACCTTGGTAATTGTTAGCAGAATTGTAAAACTGCACTTCTCAGTGCTTTTTGGGTAGATCACAATAAAATACTTTTAAATATTTTAAATTTTGATGTGAGTTTCAATGTATATCCACAAAATAGAAATGAAACGTGTGAAGAATAGCTTACCATACTTAAAGTACAGTGGCAAAAAGACTGTTAAATAACAAATCTAATTGAATTTTTTACAACTTTTTATGATACATGGTAGCACCTTATTGAGCAGCATAGCATAACGGTGAAACATGCAAGACTTAGGGTTAGGTTGCAGGGTTCAAGGGTGAAATCTACCACTTCCCAATAGTAGCCTTGGGTAAATTAGTTACTGAAATGCTTTGTGCCAAGTTTTCCTCATCTGTAGAATAAGGACATTAATATATTCTTCATGGCATTGTTGTGAGTTTTAAAGAAGAAGAATAATAAAAGCACCTTGAAGCTTCTCCACATAGATGTCTCTATGGACTGCTTGGGCTTCCTGACAGCATGGTGGTGGGGTTCCAAAACCCAGTTTTCCAAGACACAGGAAGAGGAAGCTACCATTCTCTTTTGGCTTTGAGCTGGAAACTGACACAACTTTATTAACACTGTGTTCAATTGGTCAAGGCAGTCACAGAATCTATTCAGGTTCAAGGGGAAGGAACCTAAACTCACTTCTCAGTGGGAGATCTGTCAATGAATTTGTGCCATCCTTAATCTGTCACATGAGGTCACAGAATCTTTTGCAAACTTGGTGAAATCGATGGGCCCTCTTTCCAAAAATGCAGGTATGCAAATATACTGGGTTCAACATTGGCTCAAGGCTTTATGAGAAACTAACATAATCATGGCTAAAACAAGATAGATGGGTTAATTATCTTTTACAGAAAAGTCTGGGATGATGGGGTACAGCTTTAGCTACAGAAGATCATTCAGGGACCCAGGTTCCCTCTGATTTAATGGTCTGTCAATTTCTGGAGTATTGCATTTCTTAAACAAAACTGTTCAACATCATCATATTCATGCTCCATTCCAAGAAAAGAGAGGAATAGGAAATGGAGGACAGGTACATGGTTATAAAAAATATGCCCACATCACTTTGGCTCACACTCCTTCAGTCACTTGCTTACTCAAAACATTGTCACTTTGCCACATCCAACTTCACAGAAGACTGGAAAATACACCTGTCTTAGTGACCATGCAATCAATTAAATCTTTAAATGTTCTATTACTAAAGTAGAAGAGACTGGATATTATTTATCAATTCATAGGCTCTTCTACGGCAAGTAACAACAACAATAAAACCTTGAACACAATTTCACATGGTTCACAGAAAATCTAAGCATACATTCTGGGATCTTAACCAAGGATCTAAAACTAAGAATCACCTTGTTTAGAATTTTAGAAGAAAGCATTTCAGGTTATAATATTTTTAGAGCTGGCAGTACCTTTTTTTATCATCTAATCCTGTTCTCTGATTTTAGAGATAAGAAAGCACAAACCTAGAGAAGCAATTTCTTGCCCAAGGTCATACACCTAATTACCAGGACCAGCCTAGTTTTCCTCAAGGTTAATCAGTGTTCTTTCCACTATGCAGTGACCCACTCTCTTTCAGTTCACCAACTAAATAAGTGCAAAACAATGGGGGCAGATAGCTATGAGGAGGTGTATAATCTCTTTGGAAATTTTAAGCTATTCATTCTTTCTTGTATTTATCAAAAACATGTGCCAAGCACCGAGTCAGGTGCTGACAATATGGTTTGCATCATAACAATAAACAAAAAAATCATGCCTTTCGGGAGCTCACAGTCTAGTTTTGGAGGGAGAAGTAAATAAGTATTTATTATGCAAAGTGATAAAAGTGTTCCACTAGAATAAGGGGAAATATGAAATCACAGAGAAAGGAATGACAACTTGAGTAAGTCATGACAGGCATCCCAAAGACAGCAATGCTTGAGTAGGAATGCAGTAGGAGGAAACAGAAGGAAGCAGAGGACACATGGTGAGAGGGAGAGAGGAATGGCAGGCTCATGGTATGGTTAATGGCGATGCGCCTAGAAAAGAGGCATTTGCCACTCCCTAAGTGAGAAGCAACCATTTAAGCAAGGGCAATCATGGAGAAGCTGAGAAGATATATTCAAGGGAGCTCAGGAAATCATAAGATTTGTCAATGAAGTTGCTCTCAGGTATCAGAAAGAGTTGGAACCTAGGATAGTTCCTCTGTATTTGGATCAGACAACTGTGTGGGTGGCAAAGAAAGGAATAGTGGAGGCATTCTGTTTGAATATACCATAATTAAGATAACTTTGTTTGTCTAGGTGAAAATATAGAGTAAGAAGTCAATGGCATGGTCTTAATGTAGGAAGAGTAATCAGGCCTGAAGATATAAACAGGAGACTTTGTTGTTTACAAGGTATAAAGCAGACGAAATGGTGTACAGAGAGAGTGTAGCATGAAAAGACATTTAAGGGGAGTATTTGTGACTCCCAATATTTAGTGGTGGTATGAGAAACTGTAGCCAATAAAGGAAATTAAGGAGTATCAGAGAGGAAAAAGGAAAACCATGGGACCTTAGTGTCTTAAAAGCAAAAAGAGGAGTTGTGAAATTCAAAAGGACAGTAGCTAGCAATGCCAAATATTGCAAAGCTATCAGGTGAGCAGGCGGATTGGAAATTGTTCCCCGGATCCTGCATCTGGAAATGATTGGCATTAGAAAGAGCAGTCCCAGAGGAGTGCAAGGATAGAAAGCAGATTTCAGCAGATTAAAGAAGTGAGATAGTAGCCACTGCTGGTGTCAACTTCTTGCTTAAGCAGGCTGGCTATGAAGGGCAGGAGAGGAATAGGGCAAAGGCTGCAAGAAGGTACAATATGAATAAGACTTTTACTGATGGGAGATATTTGAGCATGTTTCTATGCTGATAAAAATTGGGTAGCAGAAAAGAGGAAGTTAAAAAACCTTTATAAAGAGAAGAGAAAATCGATAGAGAAAAGTGTGAAAGGAGGCAAAAATTGACTCTCAAGAAGAGATGGAGTTAGGCTGGAAGTTAGATGAGGAAGAGAATAGAAAGCAGTTTTTCTCTGTTTATTTGGAGATAAAAGGAGGATGGAAAGAAAGGTAGGACAGAAGGGAAGAAAGAACAAAGGAGAGAGGGAGAGGAAACTTACTGAGGGAAGAGTTGAGGAAAACCTACATAAATACGTTGGTAGGTATGTGGGTGTGTGGTTGAGAAAACTCAAGCCTGAGCATTCTCTTCTGGAACCAGAGACAAGCTCAGAATCTGCTGGGAATAAGCATGGAGATGAGGAAAATAAGTCTAAGGAGAAACAAAGAGGCTTGGAATGGACCAGGGGCATGTGGGAATACAAATGGTACGTGCTTTTGTTCAGAGTTGCTCAGCAGCTCTAGGAGGATTTGGTCTGGCATCGGGTGGGGGGTACATTCAGTCGGAAAGGGAGAACAGCAAGGACATTAAGGCTATATGGAGATGCAGATGAAGTGGTCCAAGGGACTAGGCTGGATACAAAGGTAGAAAAGCTAAAAAGAGAAGTCAGAGAGCCTGGGATATGAGGAAAATAGCCTGGGGATTGAAGATGCCTAAAGGCATGAGATAGAAATGACTACAGATAATGAAAGGCGCAGAGTGAGAAATGCTTAAATAGTCCAAGTAAATCCCTATGTGGGTGGCAAAATAAAGGATTTTTGAGAGTTCAGTGGAAAATTGATTGATTACCCAAAGAGTAATGGTCAGAGTAGGAGTGGAGAGGGGGATGGCTGCTTCCATTCTGCTAGTCCGCAAGAAACAGTCACTATCTCCTCTAACTAGGGGAAACCTTCTATGGTGTATGCACCAGATGGCTTTACATGTTCTTGGCTGGTGCAAGGACCCGGACCTTTCAAGGGGTTTGTTTACAATGTAATCATGTTATATAGTTTACGAATTAATCATAACACATCTACTGCCTTTCTCCTCAGGCTATCAACAGCCATGTATGAGAGGAAAATGCAGACTAGATGAAAATATAATATAACTAGCTATAGAATGACCACTGGGCAAAGTTCAAGAGTCATTCTTTTCTCTGAGATTATCAGATCACAAAGGGCACAGTTATAAATTTGGCTTCGCCCATGGAAACAGGCCTGCAGGTGCAGGGTTATATAATGTCCTGCTCCATTTACCAATGCTCTGATGTCATGGATAACAGCATTCTCTGTATCTGACTGTGGAAAACAGTGGTAATACTTTAGTGTTTTCACTAAAACAAACAAACGAACAAAAACGATTCTGTGTGTGACAATGGGGTTTAAGTCCTGTTTCTGACTTTGGTACAATCCCCAGAATTGCACAACTATCATTTAGTCCTATGGCCACAGTAAGGAAGGATGGAGGAAGAGAAAGAAGGAAGGAGTGAAGGACATCAGTAGGAAACATCTAAGCAACAAGTTAACAGAATTTGTGAAGCACCGGAAATTTCTTAAATACATTTAAAAATGCATTGCAACAAAAATGGGCTAACTCCTCTATTACATTTCTTGGCTGTTTTTTGAGCCAGAGAACCATAATGAAGCCCATTTGCCTACCTTCTGTATTTCACTTTTCCCAGATTCCTCCACATGCCCGCGTGGCAAAATATGCCCTGTAATGGGTGAAGGTTAAATACATCCGAACCTCAAAACCCATTCATATGGCAAAAAAATGTACTCACTATCTATCCCCTTCATTCACCCTAGGCATTCTTGTAACAGGCTTCTCAATTGTTCTCAGATTTGCAAATTGTCTCCCATTCAATTCACTTGAGCAGATGTTTATTGAAAACTCCCTAGATGCTCGGCATAAGAGAGCATGGACTCTGGAGCCAAGATCTGTAGGTTAAAATTTACTTTGCCAGTTTAACAAGCTAGCTTTAAAAATCTCTTCTTCAATTTCCTTGCCAAAAAAAATGTAGAAAGTAGTAATACTCTAAATCATAAGATTATCATCAGTATGAAATGGCATAACAGGTGGAAAGAGCTTAGCACATTGCCTATGGGACAGTAAGTACTCAACCGATGTTTGCTATTATCATTAGATGCTATTGAGTTTATTTAAAAAAGTAGTGTATGATGTAATTCTTGCTCTCAGTCTTGTTTGTGGTAAAAAGAGAAATGATACAGGATCAGTGGAAGAGAAAAAAAAACATATCTAATGTATACCAAAATGTGTAAATACTCTAAATGAGAAACAACCAGTATTAGCAGAGGTTTCATTAAAAATGCCTACATAATATGAACTTACAAGAAGTGGAGGAGCTTTGCTAAATTAAAAGGGAAAAGGAGACATTGCAGAATAGGATTTAAAAAATAGACTAGGAAGCTATAAAGGTAGGAATGATTGTATGAGACAGAGGGTAAGAAGGAGAACCATATGCCCTCTGAGCAACGTGCTGAAATGCAGGGAAATTGGATGGAAAGATTGGCATTCCAAAGCAATACTGCAAGAACACCAAAATGTGATAACTGTGTCTTGAAGAGTGCAAGACACACACTCTGGCATATTGGGAGAGAGAAGTCTGGTGCTGTGATTCCTTCTATGAATTTGTTCCAGTTTTCCCGCCACACCAAGAACTCCTGAGATAGACCATACCGTATTCACCATCAAAACCACAGCTTCTTTCTGTGACTGACACAAAAGAAGTGTTGAATAATTTGTGCAATTAAAAGAAAAGAGGAAGATGAGAAGGAATAAAGGGAAAGAGTAAGGGAGGGAGGGAGGGAAGGAAGGAAAGGAGGGAGGGAGGGAGGGAGGGAGGGAGGGAAGGAAGGAAGGAAACAATTTGCAATGTCAGAGCAGGATGATGTAATGTCTAGCTCCAGGAATGGGGGGGTATGTATTTGACTGTGCAGACTATGCCAGTCTAATGCCCATGCTTGTTCACTAGGAGGAGACTGTTTCAACTAACTGTTTTTGCTGGTGATGGAGTTTGGGCTGCAAATTAAACTGTTTTCTCCTCTTTCATTTTTGATGACTATCCCAAGGCATTTCATCCAGGGTCAGCCCCAGTAATAAGAAGGCGGATCTGTATACCAGGCAGAATAGTAAGCATGCTAATTTAAAGGTCATCAAGCAGTCATGTGATAAAAGACAAGCTAAAATAAGGGTGCCACTGAGCACTGAGATGAAAGCTGAGTAACTTCCTGATAGAAAACAAATGTAGCAGAACAGACTTCTCTCTCTTTTCCTTTTTCTCTAAATATGAAATTTACTAACACTTTAACTTTCCTCAGAGAGCTGCATACGGCTTGAAATATATATATAGTTTGTGTGAGTTCATCAAGGATTGAGGAGACTAGGTGATACATAGTAGGGGTTAATCACAAATTCCCTCAATAGGGATCATAGGCAATCTTGACTGGTTTCACTGAGAAAGAATGGATGCATCTTGGAAAGAGAAAAACTCTGACACGACATTCCAAGAGTAACACAGAGTGTGAGGAGACAGCAGATAGCATCCCAGTGGAACCCCTTCTGCCCTTTAGTGAAGATTAACCAGCACCTTCGCCTTTGTGAAAATAAAGGATGGAGAAACATTTATGCAACTTGCAATCACCTGAGCTTTGCATGCTTCCTATTTCAGGAGATTTTCCATCCTTTTAAAAATTCCACACACAAATCACCAGGGCTCCTGAAACAACAGAGCAGAGAAATTTTTAAGGAGTCCCTCAAAGGGGGAGGGGATGGGCAACACCAAATCTTTAGCCTCATCTGTTTGGTTTTTGTTGTTGTTTCTAAAATAAAGCTGCAATTGGCCCGGTGTAATCTGATAAGTGTCTTATTATAAACTTGAACATCAACGGAGGGTAAAAAAAAAAATGATGAAACTTGCAACTTAAAAAAAAAAGAAAAAGAAAAAAGAAAGAAAGAAAGGGTCTAAATGACTGGCAGTTCCCATTTCTTTACAAGTGTTACATTTCAGTCCTCTGCCACTACCACATGTTTCCTGTTCACAGATAATTTGTACAACATATTTTATCATTCAGTTTTAGACACAGTTGAAAGGCTTTTGCCTAAGGCTTGGAACACTTTGAAAATTGTATACCATTTGCAAGGCTTTCTTCTGCTTCACTGTGCAATTAGGTGACTGTCTTTCTACAGACATCGAATTTATCATTTATGGGAGTGTGTGTGTGTATGTGTGTGTGCGTGTGTGTAAAACCAAGGTGAACTAGAATGAATGAGAGTAGCTTTCAATAACCTATAGATGAGGGATTAAGAAGCAAAACAGTGATTTCAGCTCCTTGAAGGACTACACTTCTTAAACAGCAAGTGGGTTTTCTCCATTAAAGAAGTTAGGTTCTGGAAGATTTTAGTTCCAAATACTGTTTCCATCTTTACTCCACTCTACATTCCCTACTGGTAGTTAAATCACAGTGTAATAATCCTAAAGAAACCCAGTCTCATTAGTTTCTACAAAAGCGATTTCAGGACTTTTTGTTAGCTTCCCCTGCTGCCTTCTTTGCCCTGTCTTGCCTGAATTTCGCAGTTTGCCTGTGAAGCACTGGTGTGCTCAGAGCTTCCCCTGGTGGAAGTTGCTGGCAAAAGGTGTTCTAGCCAGGAAGGGCGAATCTGAGACTTGCTCCCAGGCATGGACTCAGCGGAGTGTTCAGTTGCCCAAGAACAGAGAGTACACAATGTGACTGGAGGTTCTGATTGAATTTCCTATGCGTTTCTGTGTTTTACATAACCTGAATTTTAAAGTCAGATTTGATAAAAGATAACTTATTCCCATCATTATGCCACTTTGTATTTTTCCACTGAATAATGCAAACGAAAAGACAGAGCAAGGAAGCCTGATTCAACCCTCCCAGGAAGAGCTTGACTTTCCTCTGAGGTTGAATTCAGCATCCATCATTATGCAGGCAATGTGGTTCTTCTCCTGTATTTTAAAAATGTGCCAATAAAATGGTTGTGGAAAAGTCTAAACAGCATTGACCCTTTTGAAGAGAGAAGCTATTTAGGCCTGCATATGCCCTTTAAAGCATTGTTGTCTTTTCTTCTTCAAAGGTAAAATTCCCATGTTAATTTCACTTATATCATGTCTCTATAATATTTGTTAGCCTACAAATCCTGAATATAGCTTTGTGTATGTTTTAAGTCATAAAGCCTGTCAAGGCAGGTTTTAGGGGTGTGGGTGGGGTTGGAAACTAAAAACCATAGTCAATTAATAAATGTGAGCACTGTTAATTATAGTGACAAGGATGATAGGTTTGTAATCCATGCCAATGGTGAGGAAGAAATAACAGAATTTGAAATCTATTTAGAACAATCTTTAAAAGCTCCTAACAAAACTTAGCTTTAACTAATGGGGGAAAGAGGGAGGGAAGAGAAATGTTTCATTTGTTATTTTCTTTCAGGAGACATTATCAACCTAACAACAGCAACTTTTTGAAACAACAAATCATTAGATTTAAATAATTTTATAGTCCATATCACTCTGAATGTTAAACAGGCTAGAAACACCAGAAACATGTTATGATGTAAATCTATTTAAATAATTGCCTGAGTAATACACTTTCTATGATTATATATTTATTAGAGACAGATTTTAAAAAACCCACACAATTATATTCAAAGATGAAGTCCACCTATCGACGACCCTGTCTATTCAGAAATAGAAGCCGGACCACAGAGGGTTCGTAGGTCTCCAACTCAACACAGGCACGTTTGACTCCTTTGCTTCTTTGACAAAACACTGAGGATAATGTAAAATAAAGCCACTTAGAAATGCTATCCTCTGTAAGTACGAGGAAAGGACGATTAGAGCTGTACAGACATTTGTTAGATTTACACATGTGCACAGAGCCAAGACCAAGGGGTTTGGGTCAGGGGGAATGTCATTATAATAATAATTTATGCAGCCGGAAGCAGCAAAGACACCCACGCTGAAAGAGCCATCCTAAATAAAGTGGAACGTACTTTCTTTTTGAAATCCATCCAGACTCTTTGCAATGACATAGACTTTTGGACCCCAGAAATCAGGGCAGCTTAAGCAATCGTTTTTCAGAGGCCTGCTGCCCCTAGGCAGACCTGCAGGTGGACGTGGACGTATGAGACTCAACACAGCAGCTTTTCATCAAGGCTTGCCCACTGCCCCTTTCAGTTTCCAGAAAGCAAGGACACAATTCCTGACGATTTGCCTGAACACCTTTCACCTAATCAGCTCAGTTCTTCAGCCCTTTATGAGGAACTTTCTTGTACACTGAAGAGGCTACATAAGAGGCTATGCTATTCTTTACTGGCCAAGTGAGGATGGGAAAGTATGAGTGGGTGGGGGAAGGAGGGCTCTCTTTTTAAACTGTTGCTTCCTTAACATATGGCCCAAGTGAGAGCAAATCCTGAGAGATGAGAGAACAGCATCTGCTCTGGTTTGAATGTGTCCCCCAGAAAGCATGTGTTGGAAACTTAATCCCAAATGCAACAGTGTTGGGAGGTGGACCCTAACGGGAGGTGTTTAGGTCATGAGGGCTCCACCTTCATGAATGGATTAATGCCCATTATAATAGGGCTGGAGGCTGTGAGTATCATATCTTGCTCTCTCACACTCACTGGCCCATCAGCCTGCCACCACGGGCTGACACAGCACAGAGGTCTTCACCAGATGCCAGCACCTTGATATTGGACTTCCCAACCTCAGAACTGTGAGAAATAAATTTATTTTCTTTACAAATTACCCAGTCTGTGGTATTCTGTTATGGAGACACAAAACAGACTAAAGCAGCATCTTACAACAATCTGATCACCTTATGGATATGGACTTGGGAAAATTCTTAACTGTGCAGTTCAAAAATACCCCACATCTAAGAGGCAACTTCCTATATACTGAGTTCGTGGGTGAACACACAATGAGAATACATCTTCCAGGGCAGGGCATGCAAGCAGCCAAATTCACATGCAGGAATTGTTCAAGAAATTGAACCACTGTGGGCTGCTTTTTAAAAACTATGACTTTCAGGATTCTGAGTTGAGCCTATTCTTGCCATTGACTTTCTATATGACCTTGGGCAAATCATTTAACCTGTAGTGCCTCAGCCACAAGAGCAGTATGATTCTTGGTCTAAGATGCAATTTCAAAACAGAAACCCCATCTTATTTTCCTTCCTTTTCCACTGCTTGATCTCTTCATTGCAATGCAGAGAGCTGCTCTTAAGGTGCTTTCTGATTGACCTGCCTGCCCGTGGCATTTGAAAGCCTCATTCCTTCTCCTGGGCTGACTCACAATGTGTACCTAGCTGGAAGGGGGCTCTCTTGGTAAGGAGACACACACATCTGGCTCACCTGTACAATGTGCAGATGTGCAGACTCGAGCTCCTCTATAGACTAGACTATGCTCCACCCCCAGATCGCAATCAGAGACTCAACATGAACTGAAGGCCTTCGTGTCGCCTCCTAATCCTACTGTATTCTGTGCCTCAGCACTTCATGCACTGTAGACGCACACAGAAGCCACAGAAATTATGCCTCCCATGTGCAAGGGGGCAGTAAAGCTCAAGCGTTAAAAGGTCAGCTTTGGTGGGAACTAGGTCTGGGTTCAAGGAGTAGGGCTTTCAGTTCCCTCTCACAGATAGAAAAGTCCCTGGCTGATAGTATTGCTGCCTGTTGGAGGACCACATTTTCATTTTGAGATCCACTGGCCCAGGGCTTTAATAGGGGTGATGAAGAACAAGTCAGGCTACATAGGAGAGCACTTGTGTCTTCCAAAGGTAGGGAAGTTAGGAAGCTCATTGCTTCTTCTCTTCATATCCCCTATTCTATCAGGAACCAGATGTCTCAAGCTTTCTTCTCCCAGCTGAAGGAAAGGATGGAAATTCTCATCTAGGAATGCTGCTCCAGGGGTCAAAAGCTTGGCATGGCCTCCTTGGTATGCCATGAGGATCCTTCAGTCATTTCTTCGCTCTTGGGGGCACCACAGAATGCAGGCACTTGTTCATAAATGTTTTTTTTTTTTTTTTTTTTTTTTTTTTTTAGACAGAGTCTCGCTCTGTAGCCCAGGCTGGAGTGCAGTGGTGCGATCTCGGCTCACTGCAAGCTCCGCTTCCCGGGTTCACGCCATTCTCCTGCCTCAGCCTCCCGAGTAGCTGGGACTACAGGCGCCCGCCACCGCGCCCGGCTATTTTTTTTTTTTGTATTTTTAGTAGAGACGGGGTTTCACCTTGTTAGCCAGGATGGTCTCGATCTCCTGACCTCATGATCCACCCGCCTCGCCTCCCAAAGTGCTGGGATTACAGGTGTGAGCCACCGCGCCCGGCCGTTCATAAATCTTAATAAGGAGCACCTGAACTAACAGCACACATTTGTCTCGGCTTGTAACTGAGCAAGTGGAGATATTTCCTGATCCACTTCGGGAACTGGCAAGTTGGTGCCACTTCACACTAAGGACTGGTACACTGCCTGCTGCCAGGGAAACCACCTAACCCCTCGTCTCAAGCACTTAGTTGAATTGAACTCAAAAACATTTAAAAATCCTTCTAAGAACATTCATAAAAAACTGACTCTACTAATCTTATCACCTTCTACTTCAGACTCCCATTTAAGCTAGTTCACCTATTTCCCCTACATATCCTGCAACTAATAATTCATCTAATACTACTCAATTTGTGGGACTATTATGTTTGGAAAGGACTTCATACATTCAGTACTTGTTTACATTAAATTCTATTTTTTTCTTTTCTAAATCCAAATTTTCCTAGTTAATAGGACTTGGAGGAGCTAAGAATATTAATAGTTCTTTTAGACGTAAGTTTTAATTCCGCATCACCCTATTTGTCAATTCTCATTGGCTGCATGACAAAAGTCGTCCAAACTTTCCTTTCCTTGAATGTTTCTTTTATTATTGTGCTTCGGCTTGACAAAAAGTGATGAATACAGTGACTTTTCTCCCACGAGAAATGCAATGACTCATACTGCACTGTACAGAAAAACAAAGTAGAGAAATAAAAGCAACAAACAACCTAATGCTGTAATAAAAGTAGAACCCCGTGGCCCTTATGTTCTTTTGACTGCTTCCAAAATCTCCAAAGTTCATTGGAGGTCATGTCCAGTGGATTGTAGTTTGTAGTGCTATACCCCATGTATCTTGAAATTCAGACTTCATACATTCTACGTATTTTAGGCTAAAGGTAAATTCAAATTGCACATTTCCTCACACATTTTCTTGCTATAATCATAAATGTGATCTTGCAGGGAGTACCATTTACCTTTTGATTGAGAGATCAACATTAACTGAATAATCATAAAGAAATGCTTCCTGAGAATTCTCTTGAAAACATACAAAGCCTAGAAGGGAGGCAGAGTGCAAAAGCTTAAGTGCTCTTCTAGCTCATGAATCTCAGGCCCATGTCTTATGTTTTTCAATATTACATTTTGTCCTGGACATTCCCCCCATGTGTAGGGAAGGATTGATGCAATTTCAGGCAATAATGAGATACCTGTAGTATTAGAGGACAATGAGTGGGGTCCTGTGGGGGAGGAAAAGCACTAAGCATTAGTCCTGCCTCTAAGCGTGACATCACCGTTACCAGCTGGGTGGTTCACAGGCACCCCAAACTCTCGGAGCCAGAGTCCGGCAGCTCCAAAATGGAAATCGCATGAAAGCCAACCTCACAGAATACTATGTTGCTACGGAGAAAATGTTTTAAAAGTAAAGCAAATTATAAATGTAACAGGCAGTCAGACGTGCCCAGGGTGTTGATCCTATGTATAGATCCAACACACAGACATTGATGTTTTTGTTGTTGGGCCAGGAAGAAAATGCTAAGTATGAATTTCCAGTTTTCTCCAGTCCCTTTCCTGTTGCTAAATGAAGATCATTCCATCATTGTGTATCAAATGCAGCATTTGTGAAAATACCTCCCGATCATCTTTCACAGGAATTCTTTCCAAGTGAGAAAGTAAGTAATGGGGTCATGGGCTTTCTGGAGTAATACAACCTAGGTTTCTAGTGTGATTTTGATCAGCAGATTCTATCCCCAGTTTTATTTGTGTGTGGGTAAGCTGCAATCTATGATTTCATGTATTTTCTGAAGGAAAAGAAGGAAACTTAGCTAAAGGTATTTTATCACATTTCATAAGAAGGAATCCTGGAATTCATGAGGAGTCATTTGAGATAGCCTACTGCTAACCCAAGCCAGGCAATTAATCATAACACAACAGACAGAAGTCGTGAATTGACAGTTAATGGAGCATACATTTAGGTAACAGCTTACACCTTCACTATCACCCTCTTCATCCTCTTCCTCATCTTCATCATCCGTGGCAAAAGTAGTGAAATGGAGGTGCAGTGATTCCTTCTGTTTTGGTTCTTAAAAAATATAAGTCAGTCAAATGTCAGCCCATGCCAAGCTTTCTTGTGGAAGATTTCAATCTATATTGAGAAAGGCTTCCATTGTCCTCTCTATCCTCCCCTAGATGTTTAACGTCCCGTGCTAACAAGTCAAGTCAAAGTGAGTTCTAATGCAGGAGAACACATACCAATGTATAGATTCCTCTTATTAAATTTCGGGGGTTTTGACCTTTCCAGATTACCTGACGTTATCCCAGATGTTGGCTGTTTACAGTGGGGCCTCAGTAACTCATGTTGGCATTTAACAAAATTTAGAAATATGGGAATTTTAAAAATGTTTTCACTTTTTTCAAGGAACTTTGATTTAACCTGAAGCCACGAGTAAACTCAGATGGGTAACAATTTTAACTAACTCAAAATGAGAGATCATCTGTAAATCATTAGGGTAGATTTTGGAGCAAAAGCAGAAATTTTTGCAATACCTTCTTTGGCAAAAATCACTCTGCCTATAAGTAAATTAGGGTGATAGTGCCATCTAGTTATTTGTGGCTGGACCATAGACAGCAACAAGGGGGAAATGTTGTATTAGCTCAGTGAATAAGAAAGAAATGCTTCATTGCAATGATAGAATAACCAATTGGCTGATAATTAAACTGGTCTGAATTTACAGTGTTCACAAAGGTCTGGGAATCAGCACAGCTCAGTCTTTGTCTCATTCCTCCATGACCCCTATAAGCTTTCTCATAGGAAATTTGGGAACAGAATTTGATGAATCTGGTTACAAAAAAGTACATCCCTGGTATATAAAATATTTTTCAAATGCTAATTCCAAAATGAATATATTAGACACGTAAGAAAGAAGATTGATACAGAAAATGATGCTCTGAGTCACTCTAGAGTAAGAAGTTACATGCATAAAATCTATCATATCCACACACACGCACATATACATGCACACATACGTGTGTATACATACGTGTGCACACACACACATTCTCACACACTTGCACAGGTTGAAATCTTGCACTCCAGCCTCTGTGGATAAATTGTGAATTCCTAACACACCCAAGATCAGATTGTAGACAGAATTTTGGCCCTCCCAAAGCACTGGTGACTGGCATTGCTCAGGAACTCAGAATGGTGAGCTTCCAACTAGGTTGCTACACTTCTCTATCCCTCTCTAAATGAAAAGAGGATCAATTTGTTCCAACTGTCCCTGTATTTTGGTTTGTAACTGAAGTTCCTTGCCTCACTCCTACAATTTCATCCCTTTTCAATTCTTTATGCTGTTTTTGGCCTTGTACTTACTTCCTTTTTGCTCACTCTTCGGGTGATTTCAAATCAGTTTTCAAAATATTTAGAGGTGATTCATTTTTCTATGTTCTTTTTTGTAGGCCACCATAAAAGAAGAAGGCCACCATTGTATTTATGAACTATGCCCTGATATATTTCAGGAGGCTGGTGAACACTCATTGTAACATTTAAGACTTTGTACAATTTAATCACATTCAGGTAATTCCATTTTCTAGATGGAATGTTTGAGTCTGTTTGGTTACCTGTATTCTGTCACTTCACTGTATCTCATATGTGTAGGGGGGTGGAAGAGGAGGAAATTGTGAAAATGGAAGAAATTTTGCTGCCTAGATTTTAGCTCAATGGATTTGGAAAAAGATTTGCTCCCCAGATTTGACCAAGATTAATAAGGACCACATATATTCAAGTGCAAATTTCATTCCTAATCATTCCCTCTTTAAATACGTGAGCCATACTGGGTTGAAAAAGCGGCTCTGAGTTTGATGTATCATCTGCTACAGAGCAGAGTTCATGTTGCTTCCATGTTGGTGCCTGGTGTGTTTTATCTGGTCTACATCTGCCCCTGGTTTCAATAATTCACTTTGTTCCAAGTCTGGGGCATGTGTGTTGATCAACGTTCTTTTTTGTTCAAAGGAATGTTCTATGACCCAAATCGCGAGTTCTTCCTTTAACTGTGTCCCTCCAGCTTCACACAGGGAATGTCATACTTTTGTTTACACGGATATCCTCATCATTTGTTTTTCCTGGAAGGGAGGGCAGCAAATTATTTTATCTTGAAAAAAATCATATTTTCCCAATGTTGTAATATTATTGGGACTGATGTCCTTAGGACCATTTCTTAGAAGTGCACATTTCACTTATAATCATCTAGAATCCAATTGCATTGGGCAATTAATCCGATTTAGATGAAAGGCCTGTTTAATTACCCATTTACTTTATTTCTCACCAGAGGACTCCAGGACCCTGATTCATCTCACAGAACCATGATCCCAGGTTACTACTGCTCTTATACTTTTTAGAGGAATCCCGTGAGATTGACTCTTGGACCTCTCTGAAAGAAAATATAATTTATTTTGGAAATGACATTGTTAGAATAAATCTCCATGAAGGAGAATAACAATGTTGATAAGCATTAAAGGAAATGCTTCTTCCCCATCCCTCTACTTTCTACCAGCTCGCTCTCCTTTCTTGTAACTCCCCACAGGAAGCAGTCATTCTCCTTGGCTCTCCCTTGCCAATCGTTTTATAGGACTGACCCCCAGCAGCATCCTACGCTGCCGGGTCCTGGGTGGGTGAGACTGTCATTAGTAGAGTTCAGTAATAGAAAGCCCACTTTGCTGCACACCAAGCCACATTCTCCAGAATCAGTTTTAGCAACAAGAAAAGAAACCTAATTATAGGCCTCCTAAGAGCCCTCCCTCTCATAAAATGCTGCCCAAATCCAAAACATGCACATATAATTAGTCATCTGCTGGCATCGTTCTCCTGTCGCTTCCAGTTATTGCCTAGCTAACCAGCAAACCGCAGGTCTGGACCGAAGGACTCATCTGCAGTCATTTGAGGTTACAAATGGTCACAGCTTTTACAGTACTTTCCAACATCTAACCTATATCCCTTCCTTTATTGCAGGAGTAATGAATGAAGTTAAGACTGACATAAAGCCCAGTATTCTCAGCAGGATGGCATGTGGCAAATTCACAGCAATAAAATAACAACATACATTGAAACGTGTGTGTGTGTGTGTGTGTGTGCAGGGGTGTTACTAGCATCTAATAAGTAGAGGCCAGGGAGGCTGCCAAGTATCTTATGATGTATGGGACAGCACCCACAACAAATAGTTATCCAGCCAAAAATGTCGCTAGTGCCAAGGCAGGGAAACTCTCATCTAACCTCATATCACAAAGCATCATGGTGGTTTTCCCTACTCAGAGAGGCCCCTATTCTTTGGTACTTCAAAAGGACACCACAAGATGTATGCTATTTAGGCAACAATCATTTATAAACACAGAATGAAAAGGACACTTGTGAGTCCCCAACTGCAATTTGAACTCCATTATTCAATTCAAAATCCATAATATTAATACAACATCATACAAGTGTGATTGCAAAACAAAATTCCAAAACCATAATTCATCATGCCACAAGTATCTGATTAGCTACTTGGTATAAGCCATTCTCCATTATATATCCCCAAATTATCTAATTGTATTAAAGACATAATTCTGACATTTCCATCCTGTTGTGTAAAATCTCTAAGGATAGACTTAAAATGATTTTCCCTTCTGATTTACTCAAAATAAATAAATCACTAACCTCCACATCCAGCTCTTGTATCCTTTTTTCCACCCCACCTCCTGTCCCCCCAGTCCTGAGCTACAATCAACTTAGCACTTCATTTTCACATTTTTTTCCCATTAGATTGAAAATATCTCATGGGATGGCATCAACTTTAACTTCAAAATATGGGAAAACTTGGAGTTAGAAAACCTGAATCTACTTTTATTTTCTACTGGTTGTGATTAAGCAGGTTACTTAATCTCACTGAGTCCCATTTTGCTTGAATACAAAATGACCCAGCTCCAAGAACCACTCTGATGACCTCAAAGAGTTGCTGTGCAGATTGAATTTAAAGCATGTACCTTGAGGTCTCTGAAAATTTTGAGTTACCAGACATAAAATATACAAAAGTAACAACAGTGTCCTTGTGGTAGGTAGCACCTACAATGGCCCCAGTAATCTACCTACCTCAGTGCTACTCACACTCTTGTGCCATTTCCTCCCTTCGAGGGCCAGCTGTACATGTTAATTAATGTCTAACAAATAGAATATGACAGAGGTGGTGGGAAGTCATTTTTAAGATGAGGCTCTAGAGAAAAAGTGGCTTTTATCTTGGGTGCTGTGTTCTGCTCTCTCTTGGGTCACTTGCTCTGGAAGGAAACAGTTGCCATGCTGTGAATCAACCTTGTGGAGAGGTCCACGTAAGTGCCCTTGAGGTCTTCTAGCAGCTTTGTGAGTGGGCTTAGAAGAGCATCCTCCAAAGGTGTAGCCCCAGCCAACACCTTTGCTTGCAAACTCTTAAGAGACCCTAAACCAGAAGCACCCAGCTAATCTGCTCCCAGATTCCTAACCCACTAAGACATCACAAATGTTTAATGCTTCCAGACACTAAGTTTGGGAATTGTTGCTGGAATGAGCTCAAAGTCTTAACATCCTTCCTCAGCTTGGTGATAACTTACGATTGTTTTCACTGGGTTTCTCCACCCATGGCTTAGTTGTCTCCTGTTTTCATTTCTTCAGACTAGTCCTAGCCCACAGGCTGCTCACTTTGTCCTGGAGTGTCATCGAAGAGAAGTGTGTGTCACTGACTCTGTCAAAGCAACCAAACTTTGGGGAAGACATACCTCAGGAAAGGTTGCTGAGAACTTGAAATTTCAGACCTTCATTCAGAATTCTCTTAGTTCGTCATTATCTTCGTGCTCTGCTACTAATGAAAAAAGTGCAAAATGAAGAACTTGAGAGAAAAGTGAAGCATTCACTTAACTCTTTCATATTCAAATATTAACAAATCTCTTTAAAATAGATCCCTATGTAATTCCACGAACAATGTTAATTTAGGAAAATTACATTTAAAACAGTGGACTACCTTTGGTTTATTTTCTCTCTTTTACTATGTTTGATAATAATACTGTTTATTGATATGTTTAGCTACATACCTTTATTTCTGCACATTATATTTCAATATATTTGGCCTTTTTGTTTGTATGAAGTATATGCATGTGTGTAAGGCACAGCTTCTGCATGCCTTTACGTGAACATTACTAATAATTCTTGTGAGCCAATTCATTCTACTATGTGCTCTTCTCTCTATTCCTCAGTTGCTAAAGTCAACCCATGGGTTAGGCTTTATTTTAAGTAGATTCATGCCTGTGTCTTTGGAAATGCCATAAATTGTCAGCTCTCATAGGCTTAGTGCACTATATGAAGAATTTAAAAATTCCTGGCTGGGCGCGGTGGCTCATGCCTGTAATCCCAGCACTTTGGAAGGCCGAGGGAGGCAGATCACGAGGTCAGGAGATCAAGACCATCCTGGCTAATACGGTGAAACCCCGTCTCTACTAAAAACAATACAAAAGAAAAATTAGCTGGGCATGGTGGCAGGCGCCTGTAGTCCCAGCTACTCGGGAGGCTGAGGCAGGAGAATGGCATGAACCTGGGAGGCGGAGCTTGCAGTGAGCCGAGATCGTGCCACTGCACTCCACCCTGGGCGACAGAGCAAGACTCCGTCTCAAAAAAAAAAAAAAAAAAAAGAAAAGAAAAAAAAACTTCCTATAGTATTCCACCTCCATTCAACCTGTTCCCAAACTGTTTCATTTCTCGTCTTGCTATTTTGTACCTCTGACTACACCTTCAAAAGAAGTGAAAATATAATGGAAATATGTGTACTCCTTGGAAATATTTAGTGTAATCCTTGGGGGAAGAAAAACATAAAAATACCTTTGCAGTGTCTGCTCTGATGGGTTATCCCTTTATTAATTTATCTAATGGAACTTCTCTTTAATATGCATTTATGTTTTTTTTTCCATTCCTGAACCAAGGCTCATGGAAAAATAATGAAGAGGTTGGTTATGTAGTCTGTGTTGCCCTAAATTTAAATTTATAATTAGAACAAAGAGATGGATGTGATATTAATTTGAGCATAAGTAAAAATAAGGCAGATCTGAGGACCCAGGAGAAGAGATGCAGAAGGTACATACATTTTTTAAGTCCTGTACTAAATTCCCTGACTTAACGTCCCTGGAGATCTGATCACTATATTATAATATTGAACAGATAAAGTGAGGTGTTTGGTACCCCTGAACAGAACAGAAGGCAGCTCATTTCCTACCGGCTTGGAACTTCTGAAATGTTCAACAATAATGTATATTTGATGAAAGAGATGGTTTTCCAGGCTTTATGCTACTCTGTATTAACATAGCATTCTTGGTACCGTGCCTATATACTTCAGTGATAAATGCCATCCGTACAGCTTTCCCAAATGCAGAAGGAAGGATAATTAAAACCAACCATCTCATCTCAGAGATGTGTGAAGATTAATAAAATTATTTCTCTAAAGGTCCCTGAGCTTTTGGAAAGAAGAATTCAACATACAAAGTATTACTCTGTAGTTTAATTTGTAGTTATGTGAGGTAGTTTATAAGCACTTTACATCAAGTGAAAAACATAATTAGTGCTACATTACTATTTCAAAGGTCATTTTATATACAAGGCAACAAATGTAAAATATGAGGATTTAATCACGAATTAATTTATTGCACAGCATATGTTATGTATATTAAGATACAGGTTTTGAAATTTAACTAATAATAAAAATGAAAGAAGTAACAATACTGGTGAGTTACTCGGTTTTCTTCAAGTTTAAAATTGATGAAAAAATTTAAAGAAACTTCTTCTGCTCTATTTTTGTGTGAATTCCAAGTTAAGGGCAGGTTTCTGAAGACCATAGAGTTCAATGTGGGAGATAACTTGTTTCAACTGTTTTTGAATTTTTAATTGAAGCTCAGCAATGAACCTAGAAGGGATTGGACTGGAGGGGAGCTGGAAGGAAATAGATTAGGTAAGACGAAGCAATGATTCGTAGGGTGAGTAGTGGGACGTGAACCTTATGGGGATAGTGGAAGTGGGAAGAATGGAGGAGAAAAAGACACATTATCAAAGAAGAGTCAGGTCTTGTAACTGACAGCGTGAAAGAGACAATGGTTTTTTCTATAAGGAAAACTGCCAGTGTGGAGGTCTAGAAAAGTGCCATCCAAGAGAACTTTCTGTGATGATAGAAGCCTTCTACCTCTGCTCTGTCCAATACAGGAGCCACAAGGCACATGGGGCTATGGGGCATTTGGAATGTGGCTGGTGCAGCTTCGGAGGCTGAATTTTTTTTATTATGTTTCATTTCAATTAACTTAAATTTAAAATTCATATTTTACCATATTGGCCAGTGCTGATCTAGAAGAATAAATAGTATCAGAAGCACCATTGGTAAGAAAAAAAGGGAAGCCAGGAACAAGAGTTTGCTCGAGGACTGGCAGGGGCACAAACAGCAGATGAGTATAACACACACACACACACACACACACACATATACACAAAACTATCATCACATGGTGAAAAAGTAAGATAAGAGCTACTTTAAAAAAATCCCTTTTTAAAAAAACTCATTTGAAATCTTGATTATTCCAAAAGATATTCAGGATTTACTGTTCACAGTCTCCATCCGTGTGTGCCATTCCTTTACAGAGGTTTCATCTACATCACCTATTGGTGGCCACACATACTACCCAGCAGGTCATGTGAGGAAAGAGGAAACTGAGACCTTGCAAAGGCAAGTAGATACCAAAGTGGCAGGGGCAAAATGTCTTAGATGGAGACTATCCCATTTCTTTTAGGTCATCATATTGACATTTATTAAAGGCACATGATCTCTACAGGCCAGCCACGCGCAGTTCACAACACAGTCAGAGTTGATATATAGAATAAAATTCAGAGAGTAGTAATAAAGGCCTTTCACAATTGCCGTAATAACTCATAAAGGGACGAACGTATTTGGTGCAAGAATTGTTTTAGGTTGCAACTGCTAACTTAGCAATATATTTTGCTTCACTTTTCCTACTTCCAAATTGCCAACATTTCCCTGAGGTTACAGATAAATAAACAGTTTACTAACTACTAGGAGTTTTCATTTTTGTTCAACTTTAGCTACTTTCCCAGGAATAAATAACATGGGTATTGTATTTGAAACTGCAAATACTATATGTAAGATAATAATTAATGTGCATAATGGGAAGTTTCCAGGGTTTTTCATCTTAAGAGATTTTATGAAAGTAGAAACTATTCGATCTGTGTATAGGGTAGCAGTTTATTTACATCATAAGCATGTTTGTACACAAGTTGATTACTTCTCTATTTATTGCTTCTGATTAGCAACAACTTTCAAAAAAAATGGCATACCTTGTCAGCATGCTGTTATATGTAACCATAATAATAAAACCGTTCACCAAGTGTACCTTAGAGGTATGAGCTTTCATCTTATGTATGATTAAGGCTTCATCATACCATGATATTACAGTAGAAGGCCGTTTTCAGCTGTAGTGTTCTATGAGTCTATAATGTTCAAGGAAGTACAATGCCACAAGTGGCTTATTAGATTGTTTTTCAGTTCACAGTTTCAAAAACAAAAATGTCTGCTAGATTAGTTTGTACACTCTTCATGGTGATGATGTAAAGGTGTACCATATTCCATTCACTGCATGCTCCTGTAACAATATATCCCACTAATGCAGTAGTTTTCACACTATATTATCCAGGTTGCAGGAAGATAGGGGAACGTGCTTCAGGTAGGGCCCCAGGCTTCCCTGCCTTTGTCTCAAACGAAACAGCTTTGTTTTTGTGTTTCATCTATTGTTCTTTGTAACATTTTGTTATAAAAGTGATTCTGCTATTAAAGCCAAAGGAAAAAAACTAATATTGCATACACACACACACACACACGCACACACTCAGAACACATCTGTTATTTTTCTTTCATTTGTTGCCCCAGATGCCACTCCTCCGGTTATCACCCTGAATTTGCTCCAGGAGGTAGATCATTACAGATAAGCCATGAGCTGCATCACTCTCTGCCTTTCACACAGGTTTAAGCAAGAGGAGGCCACAGCAGGAGCTCTCAGAGCAAGATGGGTGCAAGTCACTTATGTATCCCTCTTCTCTCCCTGTGGAGATCCAGAGATGGCTGTGCCCCTCAAGGAAGGCCACCACACTCGTCAGGTAGTCCACTCTATAGAATTACTCTCTCTAAATTCACAAAGTGCCCCCTTTCCTGGTCCTTTAAGCCTCCTTCCAGGGTATTGTGCTATCCTGCTTAATCTCCTAAACCCCATCCATGACTCTGTAAACAGTAGTTCATTTAACTCTCCTCAAATGACCCAAGTCAAGAGTGCCATTTGCTTTTGCTGGGCTCCCACCTAAGAAACACATGTATATGTGTGCCGACACAAGTTATAAACATACCACACACACATACACCACACACCACATATCAAATATCAACATCACAGTAAATGATTCATTTACTATAAAGGAAAAAGAAGATACTCATCCAGCCTACTCGTAGTTTTTCGAAGTGGTTATAATTCTTGGAATTACATAGAAAATTCACTTTTAAAGAGAGGCAGTAATTTTAAAATATTAGGAAAGGACACATTTAATGTTTTATTTTATTTATTTAATTATTTAATTATTTATTTATTTATTTTTGAGACAGAGTCTTACTCTTATCCAGGCTGGAGTGCAGACTGCAATGGCACAATCTTGCCTCACTGCAACCTCCGCCCCCCAAGTTCAAGCAATTCTCTTGCCTCAGCCTCCCACCATGACTGGCTAATTTTTGTGTTTTTAGTGAACACGGGGTTTCATCATGTTGGCCAGGCTGGTTTCAAACTCATGATCTCAAGTGATCCACCCACCTCAGCCTCCCAAAGTGCTTGGACTACATGTGTTAGCCACCACGCCTGGCCGTTTTAGTTTATTTTCAATGACTCTTCGCCACCATTTGAACTGGGCATAAACTTCAAATCAGTAATAACACTTCTAGGAAAACAATCTTTGAAAATGCACGTGCACAAAAAATGTATGTTGAAGAACATTCTTTGCTGCAATGATGTAATAGAGGAAACAGGAACACTGTAAAATAGGAAAGCTGGGAAAATTCTTAATGGCAGTCATTAGGTGCTGTGGTCTGAATGTGCCTCCCAAAATCCATGTGTTGAAACTTAACCATTCATGTAATTGTATTAAGAGCTGGGGCTTTTAGAAGGTGATTAAGTCATGAGGGAAGAAGCCTTGAAGATGACATTAGGGACCTTATAAAGGGCTTGAGAGAGTGGGTTTTCTCCCTTCCATCCCTTCTGCCATGTGAAGACATAGTGTTGCTCTCTTCTGGAGGACGAAGCAACAAGGGACCATCTTGGAAGCAGAAAGCAGCCCTCAGCAGACACCAAACCTGCGGCCATCTTGATCTGGACTTCCCAGCCTCCAGAACTGTGAGAAATACACTTCTGATTTTTATAATTTAGACCCACAAACAGACAAAGACATTACAGAAACATAAAATGTGATACATTTATACTATGTAATACTATGGAAAAAATAAAAAGAATATTAATATGCTCTGAAACAGAAAGAGGTTAAAAACAAGCTGAACTGATAATAATGCATATACTATTATCCCATTTATATAAAGGAAGTTCACATATCTGTGTACATGTACATATGTCAAGTCACATAGGTGGTTATGAAAGGTGTTTTGAGTGGCTGTCTCTGAAAAGTCAAACATTAGAGGCAATATGGAGGGGCAAGTGTATACAGTTTTAGATGGGTGATGAGAGCTTAAATTATGTGATGACAAATAAATCCAACATATCAATCCAACCTAAAGATTTTTAGACACTCTTCGTCACTTGATCATATAGTGTGACAAATATTAATTTCACAAAGTATGTGAACATGTAATTATTCATATCTGTTTTTAGAATTGCCTATGTAGGCAGTTCTGTTTATTTTCCTCTACTTTTTTGTAGTTTCACATTGTTACCAACATCTTCTGCATATGATCTTACTAAATTTTTTTGGGGGGGTGTTAATTTTCTAAGTTATTTTGCCATTTTTATATACATTAACTTTATATTCTACCCAGTTATAACTATTTTCCATTTACAAAAAATATTTAGCCAAACATAGGGATTTCAGAATAAAAAATAAGTTTTATTTCAGAATTAAAACTTATTTTTTATTCTGAAATAAACTTAAATAAAAAGTGTTTTATTTCAGAATAAATCCTAGTGATAATTTTTCCACTTTGTTTAATTTTCTAATATTTTTTGAAATTTTAAAATATTTTCTCAAATACTAACAAATAGAAAATATTAACTATTCTTTTATCCGGGTTGTAAGTATTCCTATATATTCTTCATGTAAAGTGTTATATCAATGCTATGGTATTTTTTGAAGTAAAAATATGACCAAGTAGAAAAATTAGGTATTATTTATTATGAGGAATTTAAAAATAAATGCAAACTAATTAAATCTGTAAAAAAAAAAAAAAAACGACAACAACCTATAATGCATAGTCGTTATCAATATGTGAATTAAGAGTTTGAAATATTTATTTTAGGGCTTATTTGTTTTCAGAGAGTTTATGTAAAGTTAGAGACAACATTCAAAATATAATTGAATCACTTGAAATTAAAATTGGCACGATTGTTTTAATATGGACTAAAGAAGTATTTGCAGAAAACTGAAAATATAAAATTAAGTATAAATATTGTAAACTGACCAGGTACATGCATAGAAAACATTAAAAAAAAAAACCTGATGAAAAGTTTTACAGATAAAAGCTTGAAAGTGCTTAAAAGTTGTTAAAAAACTGCCCGTATGCAAAATTTTCAAATTGCTTGTAACATGTTTCTTTTTCATTTATTTAGCAGTACATTTTCTGGTAAGTCATCTACTTCTAATCTCTAAATAATTATATAACATTCGGAAGACATAAGAATAGAAAATCGGGGCGGGCCAGGTGCCGTATAATCCTGTAATCCCACGCCTGTAATCCCAGCACTTTGGGAGGCCCAGGCGGGTGGATCACCTGAGGTCAGGAGTTTGAGACCAGCCTGGCCAACATGGTGAAATCCCGTCTCTACTAAAACTACAAAAATTAGCCGGGCATGGTGGCATATAACCTGTAATCCCAACTACTTGGGAGGCTGAGGCAGGAGAATAGCTTGAACTCAGGAGATGGAGGTCAACAGTGAGCCAAGATCACACCATTGCACTCCAGCCTGGATGACAGAGAGAGACTCTATCTCAAAAAAAAAAAAAAGAAAAAAAAAGAAAATCAGGGTGGAACCATGTAATGATAGACGATAGACCTTGTATACCCTTCTCAGCCGTTTGGTATGGGGAAGGGGGGTTATTGAAGAATGTTATAAGAGAATATATAAATGCTTTAGATTATCCAAATAATCTAAAATTTTTAGAGTTATTTCCTTTGCACTAAGTGGAAGAAAGGTGGAGAGAGAACCAATATCAAACAACAAGCCAAGTTAATTAGGACGCTATTTTTTTTTCTTTTTTTTTTGAGACGGAGTCTCGCTCTGTCGCCCAGGCTGGAGTGCGGTGGCGCGATCTCGGCTCACTGCAAGCTCCGCCTCCCGGGTTCACGCCATTCTCCTGCCTCAGCCTCCCGAGTAGCTGGGACTACAGGCGCCCGCCACCACGTCCAGCTAATTTTTTGTATTTTTTTAGTAGAGACGGAGTTTCACCGTATTAGCCAGGATGGTCTCCATCTCCTGACGTGATCCGCCCGCCTCTGCCTCCCAAAGTGCTGGGATTACAGGCTTGAGCCACCACGCCTGGCCAGGACGCTATTAAGATAGCCCAGCAAAAGAAACAGAAATGAACAAAGATGAACGACCTAGAATCAAGATTTGAAAAATGGATGTGTGGGATGAAAAGAGTCTGATAAAACTTCCAGTCTTGCGTGGCTTGTTGGTTCCACCAGAAAAGCCTCCCTTGTCCTCCTCAAGGCCACTTTCTCCTGTCTTTCTGGTATCAGTCTCTCCTTACAGTGCTGGGGATTCATTTGTGATTGAAGGCCAAGAGTTTATGTTGGTGCCAGATATCAAAGTTATGGGGATCCTAACACAGACAGGTGTTGCTTCCCGGTCCTTTCTGAGGAGGACAGAATTCAGATTTTCTGTTCCCTCCTGACCATTTGTCTAGGTCCATTCAGAGAAATCGAGTCCCAGGAAATAACTGCAAAAGCAAAAAGCCCTGACTGCCAGGGCAGTCATGTGACCTTGTGTTTTCTCTTAGGACATATGGTTCCTGGAGGTCAGCACTGTAGGCAAGAGGCAGAAAGCACAGAATCCCCTAAAGTCGTTCAGGCTTTTTGTTCTCTGACAACGCAGATTTCTTAAGAACCCACATAGCAGGTAGGAGGTGGCACCTTGAGAGCCGCACAGGGCTGTCAGAGGAACGGCAGCTGAAAGTGGACTTGAAGTAGGAGCATCGTGTTTCCACCAGCCTTCCACTGTGGGCCTCAGAAGGAGCTGATTATCAAAAAGGGGCTGACTGAAGCCAGGAAAAGTCTACATGGTGAGCAAGCACGTCTGGGTGGATTACTCCATCTTTCAGCATGATTACATAAGAAATGGAGAAATAGCATCAGTAAAACAGAAAAATACAAAACAAATACAAACCTAAAGTACAAGGGAGAAGAGCATCCAGAGGAAGAACACTGGCTGAAAATGACATGTGACAGCAACTGGAAGAAAATGTCAAGACACATCCTTAAGAGAATGCAGGAAAATAGGCCTCTGTCAACCAGGAGCACTGGACGGTCAGGAGAGGACAGGTTAAGATAAATAAACAACATGATTCCATAACATAGAGTGAAAGAGAGAGAGAGAGAGATGATATAAAAAGACTAACAAGGAAACTAAAAACACACGCCAAAATCGAAACCAGATTAATGCAATAAAGAAGAGAACTGACAAGGTAGGTATCAAATTGGTGATAGATCACGTTAGAGAAGCTATTCCAGGGTGCAAAGAAAGTTGAAAGAAAGTCAGATTAGTATAGAGATTTTTTCTATTCTTGAAGAAGAGATGGAAGCAAATAGATAAGTCATAATCAAAGAGATGAAAGAGGGCTAGCTAGGCGGACTTACAGCTGATCACCTTTTTACAGACACAATTCGTTGAAAGTATTTACAGGTGTAGTCCTGAACAGAGAAAATTCAAAATATACCACTTTGCCTTTACTCTAAAAATTAGAATAAAACAATAAGGCTTGTTTTGTTTTGTTTTTTGTTTGAGATGGAGTCTCACTCTGTTGCCCAGGCTGGAGTGCAGTGATGCAATCTTGGCTCACTGCAACCTCCGCCTCCCGGGTTCAAGCAATTCTCTCACCTCAGCCTCCTGAGTAGCTGGGATTACAGGCATGCACCACCACACCCAGCTAATTTTTGTATTTTTACTAGAGACAGGGTTTCATCATCTTGACCTGCCTGGTCTTGAACTCCTTACCTCAGGCGATCCATCCACCCACCTCTGCCTCCCAAAGTGGTGGGATTAAAAGCGTGAGCCACTGCTGTCAGCCAATAAGGGTAATATTAATAATGGAAAAAATGTACACCTATTGAGCTCTAACTATGTGCTAGTCCTAGTAATTCTTTTTTTTTTTTTTTTTTTTGAGACAGGTTCTCTCTCTGTCACCCAAGCTGGAGTACAGTGGCATCTTGGATCTCTGTACCTGGGACCACAGTTGCGTGCCACCAAGCCTAGCTAAGTTTTGTATTTTTAGTAGAAACAAGATTTTGCCATGTTGCCCAGGCTGGTCTCAAACTCCTGGACTCAAGTGATCCATTTACCTTGGCCTCCCAAAGTGTTGGGATTACAGGTGTGAGCCACCATGCCCAGCCTGTATGCTAGTAATTCTTCTAAGCACTTTACGTGTATTAATTCATTTAATAATCTCTTTTTATTACTCATCGTCTACAGCTAAGGAAACAGACACAGAAAGGGCAAGGAACTGGACAAAGATCACACAGCTAGCAAATGTCAGAACTGGAATTCAAAGCCAGGTACTATAACTGCAGCTTTACACAGTAAATAATATTTTTAAAAATTAAAAATAGAAAATCTAGTAGAATATAAAACAATAAATGCCTTCAGAATAGTGACAAAAATAAAAATGACAAAAACAATATGCAATATTGCAAAATAAGCAGAAGGATTTATCAAGCAAGCACACATCTGCACATACACAAAACAGCACAAGGTGACTTAAGTAAAACTGAACATCACAATAATCAATATAAATCAATTTACTTGTCTATTAAAGATAAAAAGTCTTTACTAGGCAAAAACCAAATTCAAACAATATATCTTCAGGAAAAAATGCATCAAATACAGAGTTTTTACTGCGGGTAAGCAACAGGATAGAAAAAGATAGACGTAACAGGTGCAATAACGGGAAATCAGGAATTGCAATATTTATATCAAAGAAAGCTGAATTATAAAAAATTTACAAGAGGCAAATAATTTTTTATAAATGTTAGTTATCAAAGGAGACATCATTCCCTTAAGCCTGTAAGCATCACATACATTTTTATTAAGACATATTAATCACTACCTACCACTTATGTAACATAAAGAGAAAAGGACAAATAAAGGTATTCCATGACATGAATGCACTGTCATTGCCTGATGTGGTAAATGAAAAATAATCTGGAAGATGTAATTAGTAACACTGAATTAAATATATAAAAATTAAATTTTGTACTAAACAGGCAGAATTCATTCTCTTTCATATCATCCTTGAACATTTATAAAATTTAATCATTTATGGACCACAAAACAAAATTCACTAAATTTCCAACAGAATGAAGCAAAAAGTCACACTCTTTCAGCTGAGGCTGCAGTCAGCAGAAAATAAAAATAAAGAAAAAATAAAGTCACATTCTCTGTTGTCGTTGTAATAAAACTAGCAAAGAAACAAATTTTTAAATAGAAATATTTTAAAATATTTAAATTTCATATCAAAGAAAAATATAAACTGCAGTTATTAAATATGTGTGAAATCATGACAGTAATACAACTGCATACAAGTGGTTTTCATTTTCTTCTTTTCGTCAGCTTGTATTTTAAAAATTTCCAGCAAAAGGCATGTTATATCCTTTGAGATATTCTAAAATATAATTTTTAAAAAGGTAAAAATAGCAACATCAAAAATATTACATATCAAAACTTTTGAGATAAGGCCAAAGCAATATTGAGAAAAAGCAAAACCATGAATACTTTTAAAGGAAAAAGAACTAGTAAATATAAATGTATGAAATTTTAGGTACAGAATTCATAGCATAACAAAAATTCTAGAAAAGTATGATGAAATAATAAGAAATATAAAAGTAAATTAGAAAACAATAGACAAATAAATCCAATAATTGATTATTCAAAAATGCTAACAAACTTAATAAAATTATAATGCGTCTGGCAAAAACAAGTTAAAAAATAAAAGCACACATATTCCTAAACAGGTACAAAAATAGAAGTTTAATTATAAATTCTGATGGCTTTTTTATCAACTATCAGGATATACTACAGACAAACTTATGCTTATAAATTTTCAAATATGACAAAAGTAAAGTCTCTAGGAAATAAATAATAACTAAAATTGACACATGTATATGTATCCAAACTGATCAAATATTTAATTTTCATAAAATACAAATAATTTAAAATTTATGTCCACAATGGACATAAATGCCCAATCCAGAGAGTTTATATAAGTTGGTACTTTTAATATAGTACTTCCAAGTTGGTGCTTTTAACACTCCAAAGTAAAGAGAAATCTTATTTTTTTCAAATATGATCAACACTAAAACATAATAGCTATTTTCATGAGTAATCTTGATACCAATATGAGACAAAAATAGTGATCCAAAATAAAAAATGCAGATAAATTTCACTCACGATAAAGATCCAAAAATCCTAAATAAAATACCAGCAAATCAAATTCACTAATATATTGCAAGAAAATGTGCAGTAACAAAGCTAGTTCAGGAACACAAAAGATTTTCACATTAGAAAAATCAAAATATGGAAAATATTGCATTAATAGTAAGAAAAACTGTCCAATTGAAGCAGTATGACATTGTGGAAGAGAGAGATCTTGTTGAAAACGTCAACTATAATTTCTCTTCCCTGAGAAATGTCCACACACGTACAAAATGGGGTGCACAATGCCAAGGCTTTCTTTCAAGACCCATGAAAGTTAATCAAATTCATTATTATTAATTTTTAAAACAATAATAATCTTCCTGCAATACTAATAAAGGATATTTCCTTAACATTGTATCTAATAGCAATAAGCTGCAAGGATTTGGTATGGTATCAGAAATACAAATATACACCTATGTATACATAGGGACACACACAGTATATATGCACTATCATTGGGAAATATCTTCCAATTGTTCTAGCCAGTTTAATAAAACTATAGGAAAAAGTGAGGTATAAATAGTGGAAATAAGATAAAAATTATGATTAGTTATTAATGATAAGATTGCCAACCTAGGAAATTATAGAGTCAACTCAAAAACAAATAAAATAAACAAGAAAATTTAGTAAGGTGGCTAACTTCAAAACACACCTCCCCTATACATACATGAGAGCTTTTTTATATACTAGAAATAACTAATTAGAGAGTATGATTGGAAATGTCTCCATTCACAAATACACAAAAAATTGCTCAGACCAAGTTTTTAAAAATGGAAGACCTATATTAAGAAAACGATAATGTTTTACAGTGGAGAATGATACAAGATTTTAATAAAAGGTTGATATATCATTCTTCTTTATCAAAAAGTTTAATTTTTTACCTGTTAATATTCCCATATAATTGTTTATAATGTATAACTATAATTATAATTTTTGCAATAGTATACTTTATTATTATAATTCAAAATTGTAATATAAAATTAATACACAACTGATATACCAATGTAGCCTTGAGGTAAGCCCTAATATCTCTAAACGTTTAGCATATGACAACAATGGCACCTCAGATAAACAGAGAAATAATAGAAAATATTTTAAATGATGTTATAACAATTGACTAACTGGATATTGTCTCTCACGAAAATATTTCCACTTACAAAAGTAATGCAAAAATACTGAGTGCCAAATACTAAAAGCAGGAAAACTACCAATGACTTCATGAAGTGTAAAATGAATTCAATATAGTCCAAAAGTCAATGCATCAGAATGAAGAATGCCTTTTTCAAGTGAATGGCAACGCCAAATTTACAAAGCAAATGTTGTGCTACTCCGTAAAACTTCAAATCTTTGTGCATCAAAATATGTATGTGTGTTATTTTAAAAGATAGGACAAAAGAAGGTAAAATGTTTGCAATATTACATTTCAAGTGATCAATCACTTCAACAATAAACTGGCATAAACTATGGGACCATAATTACACAGAAGCATCAAAAGTCTTAAAAATCTTCACTAGATTTCATCATCAATTCCTCCTCTGGAATTTTTTCCCTAATTGATTAATCATATATATGCTCAAAGTTTTATCCACTAGGATGTTTGTGGCAGCATTGTTTAAGATGGGTTTTTAAAGATGGAATTGATGTGGTATGCTAGACCAGCGCTCAGAAAATGTTCTGTGCAATTGTTTGCTTTTTATTTGGATGTGTGTGAGGACAGGATGATTTCATCTCCTACTCTTATCCTCTCAAAGTTGTCCCAAGAGAGTCTCCAACACAGACCCTCCCAAGAGCCTTGGGGAACTAGTCAAGGTGTTTTATGTCATATGTATTATGTAGAAAATTACTTGGGAGTCCCATGAAGCACTTCTCTTCTTCCCACACTCATCAGTATCGCGCTGCCACCGAGATCCCTTTTCCTCCCTTATCTTCACACAGGACCCCACTGCTGGCCCCTGATGCTGCCTCCTGAATTTTCAAACTGACCCTTCATAGTCCTCTTCCCTTTATATACACACAGCAATTCAGCTGTGTCCAGCCTCTCCCTCCAAAAATGCCTACTCATACCTGCAGCCCAACAAACCACAAGCCCTGGAATGATAAGACCCACCCTCATCAGAAGGCAGCAGGGGCTTAGAAATAAAATTTTTCTTTATACTTAAGCAAAATAAACTTCCTAATAAATATTTATTTATGTATAAATAAAAATGCATATATACACATATGCATCCATGTCTGTATACATTAAATGACTAGACTATATAGCAATTCCATAAAAATTTAACTTTCTTCTATGACAGAGAGTTAGCTATCCAGTGATGTATTCTCTACTTTCATAGTTGTCTTAAATTAGGCTCCTTGGAAAAAGAGTCAGAGCGAGAGTTGGATGCAGAAATTTGACCTACACCTATAAAGAAGTGGTGGCAGAATTCAGTAGAGGGAGAAGTCCACACACTGTGCAGTTGCAACTGAGTTTTCTGTCAATCCTTCAGATAGTTCTGGAGCTGTGATGGCCCTTCAGAATTTTCCTAAATTGAAGCAAAGGGTCTGGGTCTGTGAATCAGCCAGTCATTAGCCACAGGCAATGCCCAGTGAGCCAACCAGCTGTGGGCCTTCAACAGCTGATATTCCCATAGCCAAGGACCACCATATCCTATCTAACAGTGTAGAGAAGCTGTGCAGAAGAGGCTGGCCTGACAAAAACAACCTCTAGAAGGGCCCCAGGACTAGTTCCTACCAATAAAATGTGTGTGAACATGATACTTGCCACTGCTTGGCAAGGTGGTTAAGAAGTAGGCCTGTCTTCCTGCATGAGTCAGAAGAGGTTAGGCTATGCTGTGGCAACAAACGACTCCAAAATTCTAATAATTCTCAACACAAAAAAATCTTATTTCTTTCCAATGCAGTGTCCACTGTGCTTCCAGACATTTCCCCAGGGCAGCTGTCCTCCATCTGGTAACTCAGGGATTCAATCTGCTTCAATCATGTGGCTCTGTGTTCTCAACGTGAGGCGTTTATATTCACCATGCAAAATGGAGACTAGGGAATTGAAACACTTGTGGACTTTTCACTGCCTCTGTCTAAAAGTGACACACATTATTCTGCTCACATCTCAGTGGCCAGAACTGATCCTAGTAACACCACATAAAGGACAGAGAAGTATCATTTTCCAGGAATAAGGAATAAGATATGGGATCTGGTGAATACAGCTTTGTCTCTCCCACACTCCTTCCCTGTTTCCTCTCTGCCAGAGAGAAGGAAATAACTCTGAGGCCCTGGGGGATAACAGTGCCACCAGACAGGAGACTGGGTCCTTGAATTTCCACATGGAGGGCACTTGGCCAAACACTCACATTGGACTAAGCAAGAAATAAACTTCTATTAAGACATTACACGTATTAGATTTATCTATGACAGTATTAGACATCAATTACAGCATCTAGTGTTATCTTAACCACAATATTTTCTTTGGGCTTTGCTGAATTTTTAAAATTTTCTACACTTAACAGGCATTATTTTATAACTAGACAAAAATTATTTTTAGGAACCCATGATATGTATTTGCTTATTTAGAAATCAGAGTGGAAGAATGCTGGAGGATATTGCAGCAGTTTTTTGAGGATGAGGATTGTGTCTGATGTCTGTGGGCTCACAGAACCCGGCATCGTTCAAAGTCTACAAGGTGCTCAATAATACATCCAGAATTTACTGCATAATCACAATGACTATTAATTATTGCCTAGACAGTATTAGGTATTTAGTGTTTATTGTTAAATATATAGCTGACTGACTACCTGAAGAGATGGATAAACTATCAAAACTAAGAGCAGCCAAAATATCCAGCCAGGCTCAGTGCTTTAGAGCATTCTCTGTTGGTTGCCCTTGTTCTTAGAAAAACTGCTTTTTAGCTGGATCTCTGGGAATTTTTATGATGTGACAGAACCCTCCTTTCTAGGGTCATCTCCTATCATATGTGCACATGCAGTTTGCAATATAATTATAAAAAACTATGTATGATTCCTTAAGCAATCGCTGTGTCCTTTCTCACACTCCGGAGTTTTTGCCCAGGCTGTGCCCTCTGCCTGAAATGCCATTTCTCTCCCTACGCTCCTAGCCAACACCAGTTCATTTTTCAGGATGGAGAATCAACGTCTTCTCTTATAGAAGGATTTCCAGGAAACGAACTATTTTTTCATCCCTCTTTTTTCGTGGTGCTCAATTGGGCCTCTGTGCTGGCATCACAATTTTGACCTTGCCTCTGGGTGCTGCTGTTTGCACATCTGTCTTCCTCACCAGACACAAGTCTGTCCAGGACAGCTCCTGTTTGCCCTGGGATCACATTTAATGTCTCATACACAGAATTATTTCCCCTAACCTACCGCAGTGCCTGAACAGACATTGCAGTGTATGTCCATTAAATAGTCGCCTAGACTTAAGTGGGGAGACTATTTTTTTCCTTTAAATGTTTAAACTTTTGGGGTCCCTGCGCATCTGCTTACTTGGGATTAGCACACATCAAAATCCACCACCCCTGGAGGACTCAGTAATTCAGGGTCCACCAAGTGCTTTATCTCAAAATGAGGTCTGGACTCACCGAATGAATCTGGGAAGCTGCTAACTCAGGACCTGCAGAGTAGGTGTTCTTGCTTGAATTTAACCTAGTGTTTGGGGAGGAGGGTTGCAACATATATGGTAATGTTTAGATTGCTCTCCATTTAAATATCTTAAAATTCCCAGAAAATGTAATTTGAAGCCCTTGTCTTGCCACAATCAAGCCATTACAAAAAAAACTGAACAAAAGTTATGCCAAAATTTAATTGTAATTTTTAGGGTCGTGCCATTACAACCTAGTCATTGGGGTACTTTTAAAGATACTTTATAGAATGCAGTAAATCAAAAGTTTAACTTCTTAATGTAACTGATTTTTAAGACAGAATAGATTTTAGTGGGCTCAGTAAAAAACAACCCTAAGCCATCACATTTCTCTTACTGTTAAATATCTTTCAATGAGAATGTTGTCACGTGCTGGTAATTATGACGAATACATTTTTCAATATTAGGTACAATGAAGAATTTTGAAGCGAAAGAATTTAAAGCAACTTCTTATTAAGAATTTTAAATTAAATGGTGTATTGCCCGTTACTACGTGATTACTATTAAAACATTTATATGCACTCATGTGTGTATCACCCTCAAAGAGACAGACTACATAATATACACATATATTTTGCTCACCTCGGTGTAAAATATTTAGATAGGATGTTTTATCATGGTTCTTAGTCATGTAATCCACATATGTCTTTAAGATATTTGAAGATACTTTCTGTACTATTATTTAAACTCAAACCTTAATGCAAATGTTTTCTACATATGGTACTATAGTCAATGGCATAGTTTACATATATTGCATGTATATAGCATGTTTATTTCTAAATAGATTGGTGAATATAAATACACTTAATGGATATAGTCTTTCTATGCTACGTTCTACAGATCTAAGATATAATAGAGAACTTTAAATTCAACCAATTTACACTTGAGATATAATTTCTGTAGGTCTTTTGAAATAATCAGAGCAAGAAAACCAACAACTAAAAATATTTATTCTGTAATTTAATCCAGTCATAGTAGTAGATGCCTATGCACAGGTACGGTTAGGAAATATATGGTCATATAAAGGGGAGTCCTACTAAATCTCTTGGTTTGAATAATATTTTATGTTTACATACACAGAAATGTAATTATCTATTTGTAAATTTTTTACTCTTATTCTTACATTCTAAATTGTATAATTGCTGAGTAGTAAGTTAAGGGATGTTAAATTGAAATGTTTATAAAACCAAAAAATGTTGAAACATAAATTATCATCCTTAACACATTATATGAAGAGTAAAATATATATAGACATCTCCTTATAATTGTTATCATATTGAATCCGGCATCACTAAATTTAAAATATTTCTGGATTATAATATATTTTATAGTATTTGGCCAGAGATTCAATAAATAACATTTACTTCAGACATTAAATATTTTTTATCATACATTTATAAAAATGTGTACTCGTTTGGGATCTATGAGCTGAGATTGTATTTTATGCGATTTTATGGGCAAATTCTGACTTTTCTATTTTTTACCACTTTGTGGAGAGTAAAAAAAATGACATCAATGTCAAAATCCTCTGAAATAGAAATATCTAGAGAGCTGGCAAAATAGGCAGTCGTGGGACCAAGTTCAATAAATTATGTGAGGAGAATTGCTAACTATGTATAATTATTTTAATATGTATCATTAGGCCATATTTTTTGTAGTGTGCTGTTCCACTTTTACATTGTTTCCTTGTTTCCAGCCCAAGGACATATTTCAGCATTATAATTTGTTCCTCTTAATGTGACTGTTATTTGTGTTTTAGGAATGATTTGTAGATTTTTTTGACAAGGGACAGGGGCCTCCTTATATCATAAATATATTATAGAAAATTGGAACCAAACTATTGTTACTCATTGTTATGCTGGTAATTTAGAGAATTCACAGTTCATGAGCTTTGCTAACTTACATTTCCAGGACTTCGTTCCTCTCTCTGTTAAGAATTTCTGTTTCTCCATCATTTTGACAAGGCTTTTTCTTCTAAGTGATTTGCCTTGTATATTTGACCTGCCCTGCCTGCATCTAAAGAAGAATGAAGCTTTGAGGGGCACCCATCCTCTGGTCTAAGACCATCCCCCATGCTTGAGCTAGCTGGAACAAAGAGTACCCGCATGCATCGTGCAGACTTTAACTTATTTGATCCACATGAAGGTCTCTTGCCATCAGACTTTCACAGGTGGTAAAATGGGGGCCAGAGACAATAATTGTCTGCCCAAGAGGTTCCAGTTAGTGAGGGGGCCAGCCAGGATCTGAATCCAGGCTTCTCCTTCTCAAATCCTCTCACCTTACCTCTACCATGTTGCAGGCGTCGGTGCATTTGTAGTTGGTAGAATGATATTAGGATTTTTTTCCCCTGAAGTTACCACTTTGGTTTGTAAGCAGTAAAAACAAGAAGTTTGGGAAGCAAGATGCCCTGCAGTGGCACCAGACATTACACACTACAGTGTGTCCATCTTAGCCTGTGAGATATGCAGTCGCCTAGCTGCATCTGGGGAAAGACTACGCATCTTTCTTGTGTGTCTAAAATAATGCAGAGTCCATCTCACCTCCTTCTATTTTTTCTCTCATATTAAGCACTGAGAGCAGTTCTGACCCTTGAAAGCTGTGACAGCATAAGGCTGTCAGCCCCAACAGAAGGCTTCCTCATAAAGAATGAGTATTATGTCTTTTTTATAAGAATTAAAGATCTAATCTGACCAAAGCTCCATCGATGCTGATCGGGGATAGAGGCTTCTTCAGAAATGGAAGACACATGATTACCTTTTATGGGTGAGATATTCTAATTATTCAGTAGGGATTCGTTTCAGGTTACAGGATTTTTATTGGAAACCATTTGAATTTCAGTACCTGTCATTCGAAGTGGACAACGTAGAAGCACATATAAGAATTACTGGAGCACAAGGCCAGGCCCTCTGTAATTTGCATACACCCATATAATATAATTTTTATCTTCTTTTCACATAGGAAGGTAGTGAATTGCAGATATCATCCACAGACTGCTGCATAGCATATTGGTCGTAGCAAACTGTTAATAATAATAATGCAGGAAATTCAATTTTAGGAACTAGCTATATTTATCCACACAAGAACTTTCTCAGATGCTAACTCGAGCAAATGAAGGGGAGAATGTATATTTTCTCCTGCTCTTTACTGTTCACCAAGTTCAAAATTAAGCCTGGTGCATAATTTCCGGCAGCAACTTGACCATTTTAATAATGAAGATTAAACAAAAAGCGGACAGATGAGTAAGGAAAAAACTGTAAGCAAATAAGTAAGAGTTGAAATCTGTAAGTTGTTTCACTAATGTATGCTCCTGGTTGATCTTAGGTCTATTAAAGCAATTTTTGAAGCTATTACGTTTGGTTTATACAGCTGAGGAGTATCACCAAAGTCAGACAGCAAATACGTACACCATGCACTTACACTCATGCCTGCTAATATCCTTAGAGATGCTGTTTGTCACCATTCAAATAAAGCTTCCAGATGATACCTTGTCTTCAGAAAATATCACCTTGTCAATAAATTTGCATTTCATATGTTGCAGAATATTCTATGAAATGTCTTTTAGAATAGTGTACTTAAGGCAATGCTTTTTCCTAACTGTTTAAGATTCATACAGCACTGACTCAAAGCTTCCTCCCAAGCTCCTCACACATTTCTACCCACTCACGTTATCCTCCAAATGCTACCACCAGCACAGCCATGAGGACACAGGATCAGATCCCATGGTCTTAGAAAGAGGTGAGTGAAGACACTGTTTTCCCTCTGGGAGAGAAGCTTTGATCCTGCCCATATAGGACCAAAACATTCAATAAAATGATTCATGGCTAAAAGACTATCAGAATCCAAGGACAATGAAAAACCAAACTGGAGATGTCAAAGGGGACTTAAGGACTACCAGAGTGATAGGAAAGCAGGTAAATGCGTGGTTATGTGGGTGTGGTAGGGCTCCTGCCTGAGGATCTGCCAGTATCTCCAAGTGTCTCTCAATCCAAGAAATACTGATTAAATAGGTGGTCATGAGAACTAATCGGTTCTTCTATGGGCTCTATAATATAAGGTTCAACATATCCTATAAATAAGGGCTCTGAGGAGCCTGTCAGGATTTAGAGCGTGACCATGGGAAGAAAGCAATAAACTTTAGCCATGGATCAAAGGAAGCCAATGCCTTTCCTATGAATTCAGGTTTGTGGTAACTGAAGGCCTCAAAGCTGCTAAGCTTTCTCTGTTGCCTCCTGTAAAGGTAATTCTGATGTAAACACCCTGAACCAGTGGCTTACAGGCCTCCATGAAGTTTCAGTAAACAGGGCCATCCCCTATCATGATATGCCCCTTCCCAGAACACTTGGTAATCCCAGCCAGTCTTCCAGCTTCAAGTCTTCAGTGCCCACCACCTGTGAGCAGAGACTTAAGAAAAGTGATCTGAAGAGAGCCCAGTGTCGAAAAATTCATATTGACACTTTGATCACAAGCAGTGTGGAACCCAAAGTTTTTGAACAAACCATTTGAGAGTGTGTAACATGCTTGTGAAAATATTCGAGGTATAATTAGATAAATAACAGATCCAGTGTCTATTTTTACTTTGCCTTGATGAGAAGCTTTGCAGGAGAGACTGCTGGTAGTTAATTCTCCTTAACAACAATCTGTGTAATCACAAACCCCAATTAGCCATGCCTGTTCTATGCTATACAAACTATTTCCTTAGCGCTTCACATC